>NC_000011.10:50669078-50821348 GCF_000001405.40 Homo sapiens | reverse complement strand
AAGCTTCAAAGCAGTCCAAATATCCGCTTGCAAATTCTACAAAAAGAGTGTTTCATAACTGCTATATGGAAAGGAATGTTCAACTCTGTGAACTGAAAGCAAACATCATAAAGAAGTTTCTGAGAATGCTTCTGTCTAGTTTTTATGTGAAGATATTTCCTTTTTCACCATAGGCCTCAAAGCATTCCAAATGTCCACTTGCAGATTCTACAAAAAGAGTGCTTCAAAACGAAAGGTTTAACACTGTGAGTTGATTGCACACATCACAGACAAGTTTCTGAGAATGCTTCTGTCTAGTGTTTATGTGAAGATATTACCATTTCCAAGGAATTACTGAAAGCAGTTGAAATATCCACTTGCAGATTCTACAAAAAGAGTGTTTTGAAACTGTTCTATCAAAGGGAATGTTCAACTCTGTGAGTTGAATGCACCCATCACTAAGAAGTTTCCAAGAATGCTTCTGTCTAGTTTTTATGTAAAGATATCCCATTTTCAACAAAGGTCTCAAAACGGGCCAAATATCAACTTGCAAATTCTACAAAAATCGTGTTTCAATACTGCTCTATGAAAAGGAATGTTCAATTCTGTGAGTTGAAAGCCTGCATCACAAAGAAGTTTCTCAGAATGCATCTGTCTAGTTTTTATGTGAAGATATTTCCTTTTTCACCACAGGCCTCAAAGCACTCCAAATGTCCACTTGCAGATTCTACAAAAAGAGTGTTACAAAACTGTTTTATCAAAAGAAAGGTTCAACAGTGTGAGTTGAATGCACACATCACAAAGAAGTTTTTGGGAATGCTTCTGTCAGTTTTTATGTGAAGATATTTCCTTTTTCACCGTAGGCCTCAAAGCGCTCCAAATGTCCACTTGCAGCTCCTACAAAAAGAGTGTTTCAAAACTCCTCTATCAAAAGAACGGTTCAACTCTTTGAGTTGAGTGCACAAATCACAAAGAACTTTCTGAGAATGCTTCTGTCTCGTTTTTATGTGAAGATATTCCCGTTTCCACCTAGGGCATCAAAGCAGTACTAATATCCCCTTGCAGATTCTACAGAAAGAGTTTTTCGAAACTGCTCTATCCCAAGGAATGTTCAACAATGTGAGTTGAATGCACACATCACAAAGATGTCTCTGAGAATACTTCTGTCTAGTTTTTATGTGAAGATATCCCACTTCAAATGAAGGCCTCAAAGCGGTCCAAATATCTGCTTGCAAATTCTACAAAAAGAGTGTTTCAAAACTGCTATATGGAAAGGAATGTTCAACTCTGTGAAATGAAAGCAGGCATCACAAAGAAGTTTCTGAGAATGCTTCTTTTTTTTATGTGAAGATATTTCCTTTTTCAGCATAGGCCTGAAAGCGCTCCAAATGTCCACTTGAAGATTCTACAAAAAGAGTGTTGTAAAACTGCTCAATCAAAAGAATGTTTCAACTCTGTGAGCTGAATGCTCACGTAACAAAGAAGTTTCTAAGAATATTTCTGTCCAGTTTTTATGTGAAAATATTTCCTTTTCCACAATAGGCTGCACATCGCTGCAAATGTCCCCTTGCAGATTCTACAAAAAGAGTGTTTCAAAACTGCTCTATCAAAAGAAAGATTCACCTCTGTGAGTTGAGTGCACACGTCACAAAGAAGTTTCTAAGAATGCTTCTGTCTAGTTTTTATGTGAAGATATACCCATTTCCCCCGAGTGCCTCAAATCTTCCCAAATATCCACTTGCAGACTCTACAAAAAGAGTGTTTCAAAACATCTGTATCAAAAGAAACGTTCAACTCTGTGAGTTGAATGCACACATCCAAAGTAGTTTCTGAGAATGCTTTTGTCTCATTTTTATGTGAAGTTATTCCCGTTTCCAAAGAAGGCCTCAAAGCTGTCCAAATATCCACATGCAGATTCTACAAAAAGAGTGTTTCTAAACTGCTCTACCAAAAGGAATGTTCAACTCTGTGAGTTGAATGCACACATCACAAAGAAGTTTCTGGGGGAGGAGCCAAGATGGGCGAACAGGAACAGCTCCGGTCTACAGCTCCCAGAGTGAGCGACGCAGAAGATGGGTGATTTCTGTATTTCCAACTGAGGTACTGGGTTCATCTCACTAGGGAGTACCAGACAGTGGGCACAGGTCAGTGGGTGTGTGCACTGTGCATGAGCCGAAGCAGGGCGAGGCATTGCCTCACTTGGGAAGCAAAGGGGTCAGGGAGTTTCCTTTCCTAGTCAAAGAAAGGGGTGACGGACAGCACCTGGAATATCGGGTCACTCCCACCTGAATACTGCACTTTTCTGATGGGCTTAAAAACCGGCACAACACAAGATTATATCCCGCACCTGGCTCGGAGGGTCCTATGCCCACGGAGTCTCGCTGATTGCTAGCACAGCAGTCTGAGGTCAAACTGCAAGGCAGCAGCGAGGCTGGGAGAGGGGTGCTCGTCATTGTCCAGGCTTGCTTAGGTAAACAAAGCAGCCAGGAAGCTCAAACTGGGTGGAGCCCACCACAGCTCAAGGAGGCCTGCCTGCCTCTGTAGGCTCCACCTCTGTGGGCAGGGCACAGAAAAACAAAAAGACAGCCGTAACTTCTGCAGTCTTAAATGTCCCTGTCTGACAGCTTTGAAGAGAGCAGTGGTTCTCCCAACATACAGCTGGAGATCTGAGAACGGGCAGACTGCCTCTGCAAGTGGGTCCCTGACCCCTGACCCCAGAGCAGCCTAACTGGGAGGCACCCCCAGCAGGGGCACACTGACACCTCACATGGCAGGGTATTCCAACAGACCTGCAGCTGAGCATCCTGTCTGTTAGAAGGAAAACTAACAAACAGAAAGGACATCCACAACAAAAACCCATCTGTACATCACCATCATCAAAGACCAAAAGTAGGTAAAACCACAAAGATGGGGAAAAAACAGAACAGAAAAACTGGAAACTCTAAAAAGCAGAGCACCTCTTCTTCTCTAAGGAACGCAGTTCCTCACTAGCAACGGAACAAAGCTGGATGGAGAATGACTTTGACAACTGAGAGAAGAAGGCTTCAGACGATGAAATTACTCTGAGCTACAGGAGGACATTCAAACCAAAGGCAAAGAACTTGAAAACTTTGAAAAAAATTTAGAAGAATGCATAACTAGAATAACCAATACAGAGAAGTGATTAAAGGAGTTGATGGAGCTGAAAACCAAGGCTTGAGAACTACGTGAAGAATGCAGAAGCCTCAGGAGCCGATGCAATCAACTGGAAGAAAGGGTATCAGCAATGGAAGATGAAATGAATGAGATGAAGTGAGAAGGGAAGTTTAGAGAAAAAAGAATAAAAAGAAATGAGCAAAGCCTCCAAGAAATATGGGACTATGTGAAAAGACCAAATCTACGTCAGATTGGTGTACCTGAAAGTGATGGGGAGAATGGAACCAAGTTGGAAAACACTCTGCAGGATATTATCCAGGAGAACTTCCCCAATCTAGCAAGGCAGGCCAACGTTCAGATTCAGGAAATACAGAGAACACCACAAAGATACTCCTCGAGAAGAGCAACTCCAAGACACATAATTGTCAGATTCCTCAAAGTTGAAATGAAGAAAAAAATGTTAAGGGCAGCCAGAGAGAAAGGTCGGGTTACCCACAAAGGGAAGCCCATCAGACTAACAGCGCATCTCTCGGCAGAAACCCTACAAGCCAGAAGAGAGTGGGGGCCAATATTCAACATGCTCAAAGAAAAGAAGTTTCAACCCAGAATTTCATATCCAGCCAAACTAAGCTTCATAAGCGAAGGAGAAATAAAATACTTTACAGACAAGCAAATGCTGAGAGATTTTGTCACCACCAGGCCTGCCCTAAAAGAGCTCCTGAAGGAAGTGCTAAATATGGAAAGGAACAACCGGTACCAGCTGCTGCAAAATCATGCCAAAAAGTAAAGACCATCGAGACTAGGAAGAAACTGCATCAACTAACGAGCAAAATAACCAGCTAACATCATAATGACAGGATCAAATTCACACATAACAATATTAACTTCAAATGTAAATGGACTAAATGCTCCAATTAAAAGACACAGACTGGCAAATTGGATAAAGAGTCAAGACACATCATTGTGCTGTATTCAGGAAACCCATCTCACATGCAGAGACACACATAGGCTCAAAATAAAAGGATGGAGGAAGAGCTACAAAGCAAATGGAAAACAAAAAAAGGCAGGGGTTGCAATCCTAGTCTCGGATAAAACAGACTTTAAACCAACAAAGATCAAAAGAGACAAAGAAGGCCATTACATAATGGTAAAGGGATCAATTCAACAAGAAGAGCTAACAATCCTAAATACATATGCACCCAATACAGGACACCAAAATTCATAAAGCAAGTCCTGAGTGACTTACAGAGAGACTTAGACTCCCACAAATTAATAATGGGAGATTTTAACACCCCACTGTCAACATTAGACAGATCAACAAGACAGAAAGTCAACAAAGATACCCAGGGATTGAACTCAGCTCTGCACCAAGCGGACCTAATAGACATCTACAGAACTCTCCACCCCAAATCAACAGAATATACATTTTTTTCAGCACCACACCACACCTATTCCAAAATTGACCACATACTTGGAAGTAAAGCTCTCCTCAGCAAATGTAAAAGAACAGAGATTATAACAAACTATCTCTCAGACCACAGTGCAATCAAACTAGAACTCAGGATTGAGAATCTCACTCAAAACCACTCAACTACATGGAAACTGAACAACCTGCTCCTGAATGACTACTGGGTACATAACGAAATGAAGGCAGAAATAAAGATGTTCTTTGAAACCAACGAGAACAAAGACACAACATACCAGAATCTCTGGGATGCATTCAAAGCAGTGTGTAGAGGGAAATTTATAGCACTAAATGCCCACAAGAGAAAGCAGGAAAGATCCAAAATTGACACCCTGACATCACAATTAAAAGAACTAGAAAAGCAAGAGCAAACACATTCAAAAGCTAGCAGAAGGCAAGAAATAACAAAAATCAGAGCAGAACTGAAGGAAATAGAGACACAAAAAACCCTCCAGAAAATTAATGAATCCTGGAGCTGGTTTTTTGAAAGGATCAACAAAATTGTTAGACCGCTAGCAAGACTAATAAAGAAAAAAGAGAGAAGAATCAAATAGATGCAATAAAAAATGATAAAGGGGATATAACCACCGATCCCACAGAATTACAAACTACCATAAGAGAATACTACAAACACTTCTACGCAGATAAACTAGAAAATCTAGAAGAAATGGATAAATTCCTCGACATATACATCCTCCCAAGACTAAACCAGGAAGAAGTTGAATCTCTGAATAGACCAAAAACGGGATCTGAAATTGTGGCAATAGCTTACCAACCAAAAAGAGTCCAGGACCAGATGGATTCACAGTCACATTCTACCAGAGGCACAAGGAGGAACTGGTACCATTCCTTCTGAAACTATTCCAATCAATAGAAAAAGAGGGAATCCTCCCTAACTCATTTTATGAGGCCAGCATCGTTCTGATACCATAGCCAGGCAGAGACACAACAAAAAAAGAGAATTTTAGACCAATATCCTTGATGAAGATTGATGCAAATATCCTCAATAAAATACTGGCAAAATGAATCCAGCAGCACATCAAAAAGCTTATCCACCATGATCAAGTGGGCTTCATCCCTGGGATGCAAGGTTGGTTCAATATATGCAAATCAATAAATGTAATCCAGCATATAAACAGAGCCAAAGACAAAAACCACATGATTATCTCAATAGATGAAGAAAAAGCCTTTGACAAAATTCAACAACCATTCATGCTAAAACCTCTCAATAAATTAGGTATTGATGGGACGTATATCAAAATAATAAGAGCTATCTATGACAAACCCACAGCCAATATCATACTGAATGGGCAAAAACTGGAAGCATTCCCTTTGAAAACTGGCACAAGACAGGGATGCCCTCTCTCACCACTCCTATTCAACATAGTGTTGGAAGTTCTGGCAAGGGCAATTAGGCAGGAGAAGGAAATAAAAGGTATTCAATTAGGAAAACGGGAAGTCAAATGGTCCCTGTTTGCAGTTGACATGATTGTATATCTAGAAAACCCCATTGTCTCAGCCCAAAATCTCCTTAAGCTGACAAGCAACTTCAGCAAAGTCTCAGGATACAAAATCAATGTACAAAAATCACAAGCATTCTTATACACCAACAACAGACAAACAGAGAGCCAAATCATGAGTGAACTCCCATTCACAATTGCTTCAAAGAGAATAAAATACCTAGGAATCCAGCTTATAAGGGATGTGAAGGACCTCTTCAAGGAGAACTACAAACCACTGCTCAATGAAATAAAAGAGGATACAAACAAATGGAAGAACATTCCATGCTCATGGGTAGGAAGAATCAATATCGTGAAAATGGCCATACTGCCCAAGGTAATTTACAGATTCAATGCCATCCCCATCAAGCTACCAATGCCTTTCTTCACAGAATTGGAAAAAACTACTTTAAAGTTCATATGGAATCAAAAAAGAGCCCACATCGCCAAGTCAATCCTAAGCCAAAAGAACAAAGCTGGAGGCATCACGCTACTTGACTTCAAACTATACTACAAGGCTACAGTAAGCAAAACAGCATGGCACTGGTACCAAAACAGAGATATAGAACAACGGAACAGAACAGAGCCCTCAGAAATAACACCACATAGCTACAACTATCTGATCTTTGACAAACCTGAGGAAAACAAGCAATGGGGAAAGGATTCCCTATTTAATAAATGGTGCTGGGAAAACTGGCTAGCCATATGTAGAAAGCTGAAACTGGATCCCTTCCTTACACCTTATACAAAAATCAATTCAAGATGGATTAAGGACTTAAACGTTAGACCTAAAACCATAAAAACCCTAGAAGAAAACCTAGGCATTACCATTCAGGACATAGGCATAGGCAAGGACTTCATGTCTAAAACACCAAAAGCAATGGCAACAAAAGCCAACATTGACAAATGGGATCTAATTAAACTAAAGAGCTTCTGCACAGCAAAAGAAACTACCATCACAGTGAACAGGCAACCTACAAAATGGGAGAAAATTTTCACAAGCTACTCATCTGACAAAGGGCTAATATCCAGAATCTACAATGAACTCCAACAAATTTACAAGAAAAAAACAAACAAGCCCATCAAAAAGTGGGCAAACTACATGAACAGACACTTCTCAAAAGATGACATTTATGCAGCCAAAAAACACATGAAAAAATGCTCATCATCACTGGCCATCAGAGAAATGCAAATCAAAACCACATTGAGATACCATCTCACACCAGTTAGAACGGCAATCATTAAAAAGTCAGGAAGCAACAGGTGCTGGAGAGGATGTGGAGAAATAGGAACACTTTTACACTGTTGGTGGGACTATAAACTAGTTCAACCATTGTGGAAGTTAGTGTGGAGAATCCTCAGGGATCTAGAACTAGAAATACCATTTGACCCAGCCATCCCATTACTGGGTATATACCCAAAGGACTATAAGTCATGCTGCTGTAAAGAAACATGCACATGTATGTTTATTGCGGCATTATTCACAATAGCAAAGACTTGGAACCAACCCAAATGTCCAACAATGATAGACTGGATTAAGAAAATGTGGCACATATACACCATGGAATGCTATGCAGCCATAAAAAATGATGAGTTCATGTCCTTTGTAGGAACATGGATGAAAATGGAAATCATCATTCTCAGTAAACTATCGCAAGAACAAAAAACCAAACACCGCATATTCTCACTCATAGGTGGGAATTGAACAGTGAGATCACATGTACACAGGAAGGGGAATATCACACTCTGGGGGCAGTTGTGGTGTGGGTGGAGGGGGAGGGATAGCTTTGGGAGATACACCTAATGCTAGATGACGAGTTAGTGGGTGCAGCGCACCAGCATGGAACATGTATACATATGTAACTAACCTGCATAATGTGCACATGTACCCTAAAACTTAAAAGTATAATAATAATAAAAAAAAGAAGTTTCTGAGAATGCTTTTGTCTAGTTTTTAAATGAAGATATCCTGTTTCCAATGAAGGCATCAAAGCAGTCCAAATATCAACTTGCAAATTCTACAAACAGAGTGTTAGGAAACTGCTCTATCTAAAGGAACGTTCAACTCTGTGAGTTGAATGCACACATCACAATGAAGTTTCTGAGAATGCTTCTTTTTTGTTTTTATGTGAAGATATCCCGTTTCCAAAGAGGGACTCAAAGCGGTCCAAATGTCCACTTGCAAATACTGGAAAAAGAGTGTTTCAACACTCCTCTATAAAAAGGAATTTTCAACTCTGTGAGTGGAAAGCAAACATCACAAAGAAGTTTCTGAGAAAGCTTCTGTCTAGTTTTTATGTGAACATATAACCTTTTTCACCATAGACATCAAAGGGGTCCAAATGTCCATTTGCAGATTCTACAAAAATAGTGTTACAAAACTGCTCTATCAAAAGAAAAGTTCAACTCTGTGAGTTGAATGCACACATCACAAAGAAGTTTCTCAGAATGCTTCTGTCTAGTTTTTATGTGAAGCTATTTTCTTTTTCACCATAGGCCTCAAAGTGCTCCAAATATCCACTTGCAGATTCTACATAAAGAGTGTTTTAAAACTGCTCTATCAAAAGAAATGTTCAACTGTGTGAGTTGAAGTCACACATGGCAAAGAAGTTTCTGAGAATGCTTTTGTCTAATTTTTATGTGAAGATATTCCCGTTCCCACCAAAGGCCTCAAAGCGGTCCAAATATCCACTTGCAGTTTCTTCAGACAGAGTGTTTCAAAACTGTTCTATCAATAGGAATGTTGAACTCTCTGAGTTGAATGCACACATCATAAAGAAGTTTTTTAGAATGCTTCTGTCTAATTTTTATGTGAAGATATTCTGCTTCCAATGAAGGCCTCAAAGAGATCCAAGTATGCACTTGCAGATTCTGCCAAAAGAGTGTTTCGAAACTGCTCTATCAAAAGGAATGTTCAACTCTGTGAGCGGAATGCACAAATCACAAAGAAATTTTTGAGAATGCTTCTGTCTAGTTTTTTTGTGAAGATATTCCTTTTCCAATGAAGGCCTCAAAGCCGTCAAAATATCCACTTGCGAATACTACAAAAAGAGTGTTTCAATACTACTCTATGAAAAGGAATGTTCAAATCTGTGAGTTGAAATCAAACATCACAGAGAAGTTTCTGAGAATGCTTCTGTATTGTTTTTAAGTGAATATATTTCCTTTTTCCCCACAGGGATCAAAGAGCTCCAAATGTCTGCTTGCAGATTCTATAAAAAGAGTGTTACAAAACTACTCAATGAAAAGAAAGGTCCAATTCTGTGAGTTGAATGCACGCATCACAAAGAAGTTTCTGAGAATGCTTCTGTCTAGTTTTTATGTGAAGATATTTCCTTTTTCACCATAGGCGTCAAAGGGCTCCAAATGTCCACTTGCAGATTCTACCAAAAGAGTGTTTCAAAACTGCTCTATCAAAAGAAAGGTTGAGCTCTGTCAGTTGTTGAATGCACACATCACAAAGAAGTTTCTGAGAATGCTTCTGTCTAATTTTTATGTGAAGATATTCCCATTTCCAACAAATGCCTCAAAGCTGTTGAAATATCCACATGAAGATTCTAGACAAAGAGAGTTTCTAAACTGCTGTATCAAAAGGAATGTTCAACTCTGTGAGTTGAATGCAGACATCACAAAGTATTTTTGGAGAATGTTTTTGTCTAGTTTTTAAGTGAAGATATCCCATTTCCAAAGAAGGCCTAAAAGCGGTCCAAATATCCACTTGTAAATTCTATAAAAAGAGTTTTCGAAACTCTTCAATCTAAAGGAATGATCAACTCTGTGAATTGAATGCACACATCACAAAGAATTTTCTGAGAATGATTCTTTTTAGTTTTTATGTGAAGATATCCCGTTTCCAAAGAAGACCTCAAAGTGGTCCAAATATCCACTTGCAAATTGTAGAAAAAGAGTGTTTCAATACTGCTCTATAAAAAAGAATTTTCAACTCTGTGAGTGGAAACCAACAACACAAAGAAGTTTCTGAGAATGCTTCTGTCTAGTTTTTATGTGAACATAATTCGGTTTTCACCATAGGCATCAAAGGGCTTCAAATATCCACTAGCAGATTCTTCAAAAATAGTGTTACAAAACTACTCTATCAAAAGAAAGGTTCAACTCTGAGAGGTGAGTGCACACATCACAAAGAAGTTTCTGAGAATGCTTCTGTCTAGTTGTTATGTGAAGGTATTTCCTTTTTCACCATAGGCTTCAAAGCGCTCCAAGTATCCACTTCCAGATTCTACAAAAAGAGTGTTTCAAAACTGCTCTATCAAAAGAAAGGTTCAACTGTGTGAGTTGAATGCACACATTGTGAAGAAGTTTCTGAGACCGCTTCTGTCCAATTTTTATGTGAAGTTATTCCCGTTCCCACTGAAGGCGTCAAAGTGGTCCAATTATCCACTTGCGGATTCTCCTAAAAGAGTGTTTCAAAACTGCTCTATAAAAAGGAGTATTCAACTCTGTGAGTAGAATGCACACATCACAAAAAAGTTTCTGAGAATGCTTCTGTCTAGTTTTTATGTGAAGATATCCCGTTTCCAAAGAAGGCCTCAAAGCGTTCCAAATATCCACCTGCAAATTCCACAAAAAGAGTGTTTTGAAACTGCTCTATCAAAAAAAAAGTTCAACTCTGTGAGTTGAATGCACACATCACAAAGAGGTTTCTGAGAATGCTTCTTTCTAGTTTTTATGTGAAGATATCCCATTTCCAATGACGGCCTCAAAGCGGTCCAAATATCAACTAGCAAATTCTACAAAAAGAGTGGTTCAGTAGTGCTCTATGAAAAGGTATGTTTAACTCCGTGAGTTGAAAGCAAACATCACAAAGAAGTTTGTGAGAATGCTTCTGTCTAGTTTTCATGTGAATATATTTACTTTTTCACCATAGGCCTCGAAGGGCACCAAATATCCATTTGCAGATTCTACAAAAAGAGTGTTACAAAACTGCTCTATCAAAAGAAAGGTTCAACACAGTGAGTTGCATGTACACTTCACAAAAAAGTTTCTGAGAACGCTTCCATCTAGTTTTATGTGAAGAAATTTCCTTTTTCACCATAGGCCTCAAAGTGCTCCAAATATCCAGTTGCAGATTCTGCAAAAAGAGTGTTTCAAACTTCTCTATCGAAAGAAAGGTTCACGTCTGTGAGTTGAATACACACAACACAAATAAGTTTCTGAGAATGTGTCTATCTAGTTTTTATGTGCAGATATCCCATTTCCAAAGAAGGCCTCAAAGCTGTTCAAGTATCCACTTGCAGATTCTACACAAAGAGTGTTTTGAAACTGCTCTATGAAAAGGAATGTTCAACTCTGTGAGTTGAAAGCAAACATCACAAAGAACTCTCTGAGAATGCTTCTGACTAGTTTTTATGTGAAGATATTTCGTTTCACCACAGGCCTCAAAGCAATCCAAATGTCCACTTGCAGATTCCTCAAAAAGAGTGTTTCAAAACTCCTCTATCAAAAGAAAGGTTCAACTCTTTGAATTGAAGGCAAACATCAAAAAGAAGTTTTTGAGAATGCTACTGTCTAGTTTTTATGTGAAGATATTTTCTTTTTCACCATAGGCCTCAAAGTGCTCCAAACGTCCACTTGCAGATTCTACAGAGTGTTCCAAATTTGCTCCATAAAAGGAAGGTTCAATTCTGTGAGTTGAATGCACACATCACAAAGAAGTTTCTGAGAATGCTTCTGTCTGCTTTGTATGTAAAGATATTCCCGTTTCTACCCAAGGCCTCAAAGCAGTCCAAATATCCACATGCAAAATCTAAAGAAAGACTGTATCAAAACTGCTGTATGGAAAGGAATGTCCACCTTTCTGATTTGAAAGCAAACATCAGAAAGAAGTGTCTGAGAATGCTTCTGTCTAGATTTCATGTGAAGATATTTCCTTTTTCACCAGAGGCATCAATGCACTCCAAATGTCCACCTGCAGATTCTACAAAGAGAGTGTTTCAAAAATGCTCCATCAAAAGAAAGGTTTAACTCTTTGAGTTGAAAGCAAACATCAAAAAGAAGTTTCTCAGAATTCTTCTGTCTAGTTTTTATGTGAAGATATTTTCTTTTTCACAATAGGCCTCAAAGCACTCCAAATATTCACTTGCAGATACTTCAAAAAGAGTGTTTCAAAACTTCTGTATCAAAAGAAAGGCTCACCTCTCGAGTTGAATGCACACATTACCAAGAAGTTTCCGAGAATGCTTCTGTCTAGTTTTTCTGTGAAGTTATCCCGTTTCCAACGAAGGCCTCAAAGTGGTCCAAATATCCACTTGCAAATTCTACAAAAAGAGTGTCTCAAAACCGCTCTATGAAAAGGAATGTTCAACTCTGTGATTTAAAAGCAAACGTCACAAAGAAGTTTCTGAGAATGCTTCTGTCTTGTTTTTAGGTAAAGATAAACCATTTCCACCAAAGTCCTTAATGCGCTCTAAATATCCACTTGCAGATTCTACATAAAGAGCATTTCAAAACTGCTCTTTCAAAAGGAATGTTCATCTCTGTGAGTTGAATGCACACATCACAAAGAAGTTTCTGATAATTCTTCTGTCTAGTTTTTATGTGAAGATATTCCCGTTTCCAATGAAGGCCTCTAAGTGGTCCAAATATCCACTTTCAGATTCTACAAAAAGAGTGTTTTGAAACTGCTCTATGAAAGGGAATTTTCGTCCCTCTGAGTTGAAAGCACACATCACAAAGCAGTTTCTGAGAATGATTCTGTCTTGTTTCTATGTGAAGATATTTCCTTTTCCACCATAGGCATCAAAGTGCTCCAAATGTCCACTTGCAGATTCTACAAAAAGAGTGTTTCAAAACTGCTCTATCAAAAGAAAGGTTCAACTCTGTGAGTTGCAGGCACACATCACAAAATAGTTTCAGAGAATGCTTCTGTCTAGTTTTATTTCAAAACTGCTCTGTCATAAGGAATGTTCACGTCTGCGAGTTGAATGCACAGATCACAAAGAAGTTTCTGAGAATGCTTCTGTCTAGTTTTTATGTGAAGATATTCCTGTTTCCACCGAAGGCCTCAAAGAGGTCCAAATGTCCACTTGAAGATTCTACAAAAATAGTGTTTTGAAACTGCTCTTTCAAAAGGAATGTTCAACTCTGTGAGTTGAATGCACACATCACAAAGAAGTTTCTGAGAATACTTCTGTCTAGTTTTTATGTGAAGACATCCCGTTTCCAATGAAGGATTCAAACCGGTCCAAATATCCACTTGCATATTCTACAAAAAGAGTGTTTCAAAACTGCTCTATGAAAAGGAATGTTCAACTCTGTGAGTCGAAAGCAAACTTTACAAAGAAGTTTCTAAGAATGCTTCTGTCTTATTTTTATGTGAAGATATTTCCTTTTTCACCTTAGGCATGAAAGTACTCTAAAGGTCCACTTGCAGATTCTACAAAAGGAGTGTTTCAAAACTACTCTATCAAAAGAAATGTTCAACTCTGTGAGTTGAATTCACACATCACAAAGAGGTTTCTGAGAATGCTTCTGTTTAGTTTTTATGTGAAGATATTTCCCTTTTCATCATAGGCCTCAAAGCTCTCCAAATGTCCACTTGCAGATTCTACAAAGAGATTGCTTCAAAACTGCTCTATCCAAAGGAAGGTTCAACTCTGTGAATTGAATGTACACATCGCAAAGGAGTTTCTGAGAATGCTTCTGTCTAGTTTTTATGTGAAGATATTCACATTTCCACTGAAGGCCTCAAAGAGATCCAAATGTCTACTTGCAGATTCTACAAAAAGAGTTTTTCAAAACTGCTCTATCAAAAGAAAGGTTCAACTCTGTAAGTTGAAGGCACACATGAAAAACGAGTTTCTGAGAATGATTCTATCTAGTTTTTATGTGAAGATATTTCCATTTCCACCAAATGCCTCAGTGTGCTCCAAATATCCAAATGCAGATTCTTCAAAAAGAGTGTTCCAAATCTGCTACATCAAAAGCAAGGTTCAATTCTGTGAGTTGAATGCACACATCACAAAGAAGTTTCTGAAAATGCTTCTGTCTAGTTTTTATGTAAAGATTTTCCCGTTTCCACCAAAGGCTTTAAAGCGGTCCAAATATCCACATGCCAATTCTAAAGAAAAACTCTATCAAAACTGCTGTATGAAAAGGAATGTCCAACTCTCTGACGTGAAAGCAAACATCACAAAGAAGTTTCAGAGAATTCTTCTGTCTAGGTTTCATATGAAGATATTTCCTTTTTCACCAGGGACATCAAAGCACTCCAAATGTCCACCTGCAGATTCTACAAAGAGAGTGTTTCAAAACTGCTCTATCAAAAAAAAGTTTCAACTCTGCGAGTTGAAAGAAAACATCACAAAAAAGTTTCTGAGAATGCTTCTGTCTTGTTTTTATGTGAAGATATTTCCTTTTGAACTATAGGCCTCAAAGCACTCCAAATATCCATGTGCAGATACTACAAAAGGAGTGTTTCAAAACTGCTCAATCAAAAGAATGGTTCAGGTCTGTGAGTTGAATGCACACATCACAAAGAAGTTTCTGAGAATGCTTCTGTCTAGTTTTTATGTGAAGATATTTCCTTTTTCTCAAAAGGCCTCAAAGCACTCCAAATGTCCACTTGCAGATTCTACAAAAAGAGTGTTTCAAAACTCCCCTATCAAAAGAAAGGTTCAACTCTGTGAGTTGAATGCACACATCACAAAGAAGATTCTGAGAATGCATCTATCTAGTTTTTATGTGAAGATATTTCCTTTTTCACAATAGGCCTCAAAGCGCTCCAAATATTCACCTGCAGATTCTACAAAAATAGTGTTTCCAAACTGCTCTATCAAAAGAAAGTTTCCAATCTGTGAGTTGACTGCACACATCACAAAGAAGTTTCTGACAATGCTTCTGTCTAGTTTTTATGTGAATATATCCCGTTTCCAATGAAGACCTCAAAGCGGTCCAAATATCCACTTGCAAATTCCTCAAAAAGAGTGTCTCAAAACTGCTCTATGAAAAGGAATGTTCAACTCTGTGATTTGAAAGCAAACGTCACAAAGAAGTTTCTGAGAATGTTTCTGTGTTGTTTTATGTGAAGACACACTGTTTCCACCGAAGTCCTCAATGTGCTCTAAATATCCACTTGCAGATTCTACGGAAAGAGTGTTTTGAAACAGCTCTATCAAACGGAACGTTCCTCTCTGTGAGATGAATGCACACATCAGAAAGAAGTTTCTGAGAATGCTTCTGTCTAGTTTTTATGTGAAGATATTCCCGTTTCCACTGAAGACCTGAAAGAGCTCCACATATCGGCTTGCAGATTCTACAAAAAGAGTTTTTCAAAGCTTCTCTATGAAAAGGAAGGTGCACCTCTGTGAGTTTAATGCACACATCAGAAAGAAGTTTCTGAGAGTGCTTTTGTCTAATATTTATGTGAAGATATACTCGTTTACATCATAGGCCTCAAAGCGCTCCAAATATCCACTTACACATTCTACAAAAAGAGTGCTTCAAAACTTCTCTATCAAAAGGAAGGTTCAAATCTGTGTATTTAATGCACACATCACAAAGAAGTTTCTGAGAATGCTTCTGTCTAGATTTTCTGTGAAGATACTTTCTTTTCCAATGAAGGACTCAAAGTGCTCCAAATGTCCACTTGCAGAATGTACAAAAAGAGTGTTTCAAAACTGCACTATCAAAAGGAAGGTTCAACTCTCTGAGTTGAATGCAGACGTCAAAAAGAAGTTTCTGACAATCCTTCTGTCAAGTTTTTACGTGAAGATATTCCCGTTTCCATCGCAGGTCTCAAAGAGCTCCAAATAGCCACTTGCAGATTCTACAAAAAGAGTGTTTCAAAACTGCTCTATCAAAAGAAAGGTTCAACTCTGTGAGTTGAATGCACACATCTAAAACAAGTTTCTGAGAGAGCTTCTGTCTAGTTTTATGTGAAGATAATTCCTTTTCCTCCATAGGACTCAAATCTTTTCAAATATCTACTTAAAGATTCTACAAAAAGACTGTTTCAAAACTGCTCTATTTAAAGGAAGGTTCAACTCTGTGAGTTGAATGCACACATCACAAGGAAGTTTCTGAGAATGCTTTTGTCTAGTTTTTATGTGAAGATATTCCCGTTTTCACTGAATGCCTCAAAGTGGTCCAAATATCCAATTGCAGATTCTACAAAAAGAGTGTTTCAAAAGCGTTCTATCAAAAGAAAGTTTCAAACCTGTGAGGTGAAAGCACACATCACAAAGAAGTTTCTGAGAATACTTCTGTCTAGTTTTTATGTGAAGATATTTCCTTTTTCAACATAGGCCTCAAAGCGCTCCAAATGTCCACTTGCAGATTCTACAAAAAGAGTGCTTCAAAACTGCTCTATCAAAAGAAAGGTTCAACTCTGTGAGTTGAATGCACACATCAGAAAGAAGTTACTGAAAATGCTTCTGTCTAGTTTATATGTGAAGATATTCCTGTTTCCAATGAAGGCCTCAAAGCAGTGCGAATATTCACCTGCAAATTCTACAAAAAGAGTGTTTCAAAGCTGCTCTATGAAAACGAATGTTAAGCTCTGTGAGTTGAATGCAAACATAACAAAGTAGTTTCTGAGAATGCTTCTGTCTAGTTTTTATGTGAAGATATTTCGTTTTTCACCATAGGCATCAAAGCGCTCCAAATGTCTGCTTGCAGATTCTATGAAAAGATTTTTTCAAAACTGTTCTATCAAAAGAAAGGTTCAACTCTGTGAGTTGAATGCACACATCACAAAGAAGTTTGTGAGAATGCTTCTGTCTAGTTTTTATGTGAATATATTTCCTTTTTCACCATAGGTCTCAAAGCGCTCCAATTGTCCACTTGTAGATTCTATAAAAAGATTGCTTCAAATCTACTCTATCAAAGTAAGGTTCATCTCTGTGGGTTTGATGCACACATCACAAAGAAGTTACTGAGAATGTTTCTGTCTAGTTTTTATGTGAAGATATTCCTGTTTCCAACGAAGGCCTCAAAGAGGTCCAAATATCCCCTTGCAAATTCTACAAAGAGTGTTTCAAAACTACTCTATGAAAAAGAATCTTCAACTCTGTGAGTTGAATGCAATCATAAAAAGTAGTTTCTGAGAATTCTTCTGTCTATTTTTTATGTGAAGATATTTCCTTTTTCACCATAGGCATCAAATTTCTTCAAATGTCCACTTGCAGATTCTACAAAAAGAGTGTTTCAATACTGCTCTATCAAAAGAAAGGCTCAACTCTGTGAGTTGAATGCACACATCACAAAGAAGTTTCTGAGAATGCATCTGTGTAGTATTTATGTGAAGATATTCCTTTTTCACCTTAGGCCTCAAAGCACTCCAAATGTCCACTTTCAGATTCTATAAAAAGAGTGTTTCAAAACTGCTCTATCAAAAGAAAGTTTCAACTCTGTGAGTTGAATGCTCACATCACAAAGATATTTCTGAGAATGATTCTGTTTAGTTTTTATGTGAAGATATTCCCGTTTGCACCAAAAGCCTCAATGTGCTCCAAATATCCACTTGCAGATTCTACAAAAAAAGTGTTTCAAAACTACTCTATCAAAAGAAATGTTCAACTCTCTCTAAGTTGAATGCACACATCACTGAGAAGTTTCTGAGAATGCTTCTGTCTTGTTTTTATGTGAAGATATTTCCTTTTTCACCATAGGCAACAAAGCGCTCCAAATGTCCACTTGCAGATTCTACAAAAAGAGTGTTTCACAACTACTCAACCAAAAGAAAGGTTCAACTCTGTGAATTGAATGCACACAACACAAAGTAGTTTCTGAGAACGCCTCTGTGTAGCTCTTACATGAAGATATTGCCTTTTTTACCGTAGGCCTCAAAGTGGCACAAATATCCACTTGCAGGTACTACAAAAGGAGTGTTTCAAAACTTCCCTATCAAAAGGAACGTTCAACTCTCTGAGTTGAATGCACACATCACAAAGTAGTTTCTTAGAACGCTTCTGTGTAGTTCTTATATGAAGTGATTTCCTTTTCTACTGTAGGTCTCATAGCGGTCCACATATCCACTTGCAGATTCTACAAAAAGAGGATTTCAAAACTGTTCTATCAAAAGGAAATTTCAACTCTCTGAGTTGAATGCACAAGTCAAAAAAAAAAAAATTCTGAGAATGCTTCTGTCTAGTTTTTAATGTTAAGATATTCCCATTTCCAATGAAGGCCTCAATGTGGTCCGAATATCCACTTGCAGATTCTACAAGAAAGAATGTTTTCAAACTGCTCTATGAAAAGAAATGTTCAGCTCTGTGAGTTAAATTCAAACATAACAAAGAAGTTTCTGAGAATGCTTCTGTCTAGTTTTTATGTGAAGATATTTAATTTGTCACCATTTGCATCAAAATGTTCCAAATGTCCACTTCCACATTCTACGAAGAGTTTCAAAACTGCCCTATGAAAAGAAAGGTTCAACTCTGTGTGTTGAATGCAAACATCACAGAGAAGTTTCTGAGAATGCTTCTTTCTAGTTTTTATGTGATGATATTTCCCTTCTCACCATAGGCAACAAATCCCTCCAAATGTCCACTTGCAGATTCTACAAAAAGAGTGTTTCAAAACTGCTCTCTCAAAGGGAAGTTTCAACTGTCTGAGGTGAATGCTTACTTCAGAAAGAAGTTTCTGAGAATGCTTTTGTCTACTTTTTATGTGAAGATATTCCCGTTTCCACCATAGCCCTCAAAGCGCTCCAAATATCCAGTTGCAGATTCTACAAAAAGAGTGTTTCAAAACTACTCTATCAAAAGAAAGGTTCAACTTTGTGCGATGAATGCACACATCACAAAGTAGTTTCTGAGAATGCTTCTGTCTTCTTCTTATGATGTGAAGATATTTCCTTTTCTACCATAACCCTCAAAGCCATCTAAATATCCACTTGCAGATTCTACAAAAAGAGTGCTTCAAAAATGCTCTATCAAAACAAATGTTCAACTCTGTGATTTGAATGCACACATCACAAAGAAGTTGCTGAGAATGCTTCTCTCCATTTTTTATGTGAAGATATTCCAGTTTCCACCAAAGGCCTCAAAGCGCTCCAAATATCCACTTGCAGATTCTACTGAAAGGGTTTTTCAAAACTGCTCTCTCAAAAGGAAAGTTCAACTCTCTCAGGTGAATGCATACTTCACAAAGAAGTTTCTGAGAATGTATCTGTCCATTTTTTATGTGAAGATATTCCCATTTCCTCCGAAGGCCTCAAAGAGCTCCAAATATCAACATGCAGATTCTAGGAAAAGAGTGTTTCAAAACTACTCTACCAAAAGAAAGGTTCAAACCTGTGCGTTGAATGCACTCAAAACAAAGTAGTTTCTGAGAATGCTTCTGTCTAGTTCTTATGTGAAGATATTTCCTTTTCTACCATAGGCCTGAAAGCTGTGTAAATATTCACTTGCAGATTCTACAAAAATAGAGTTTCAAAACTGCTCTATCAAAAGATGGTTCAACCCTCTTAGTTGAATGTACTCTTCACAAAGAAGTTTATGAGAATGCTACTGTCTAGTTTTTATGTGAAGATATTCCCGTTTCCACCATAGGCCTCAAAGCGCTCCAAATATCCAGTTGCAGGTTCTACAAAAAGAGTGTTTCAAAACTGCTCTATCAAAAGAAAGGTTCAGTTCTGTGAGTTGAAAGCAGACATCACAAAGAAGTTTCTGAGAATGCTTCTGTCTACTTTTTATGTGAAGATATTCCTGTTTCCACCAAAGGCCTCAAAGCGCTCAAAATATCCACTTGCAGATTCTACAAAAAGAGTGTTTCAGTTTCAAAACTGTTTTATCAAAAGGAATGCTCAATTCTGAGAGTTGAATGCACACATCACAAAGAAGTTTCTCAAATGCTTCTGTCCTGTTTTTATGTGAAGATATTCCCATTTCCAATGAAGGCCTCAAAGTGACCCAATATCGACTTGAAGTTTATACAAAAAGAGTGCTACAAAACTGCTCTATGAAAAGAAATGTTCAACTCTGTGAGTTGAAAGCAAACATCACTAAGAAGTTTCTGAAAGTGCTTCTGTCTAGTTTTTATGTGAAGTTATTTCCTTTTTCAGTGTAGACCTCAAAGCACTCCAAATGTCCACTTGCAGATTCTACAAAAAGAATTTTTCAAAACAGTTCTATCAAAAGAAAGGTTCAACTGGTGAGTTGAATGCACACATCACAAGGAAGGTTCTGAGAACATTTCTGTCTAGTATTAATGTGAAGATTTTCCCGTTTCCACCATAGGCCTTTCAGCAGTCCAAATATCAACTTACAGATCCTACAAAAAGAGTGTTTCATAACTGCTCTATCAAAAGGAATGTTCAGCTCTGTGAATTGAATGCAAACATCACAAAGAAGTTTCTGACAATGATTCTGTCTAGTTTTTACGTGAAGATATTCTCGTTTCCAACAAATTCCTCTAAGTGGTCCAAATATCATCTTGGAAAATCTACAAAAAGAGTGTTTCAAAACTGCTCTATAAAAGGGAATGTTCAACTCTCTGAGTTGAAAGCAAACATCACAAAGAAGTTTCTGACAATGCTTCTGTCTAGTTTTTTGTGAAGATATTTCCTTTTTCACCATTGGCCTCAAAGCACTTTGAATATCCACTTGCAGATTCTACAAAAAGAGTGTTTCAATACTGCTCTATCAAAAGGAATGTTCAACTCTGTGATTTTAATGCATATGTCACAAAGAAATTTCTGAGAATGCTTCTTTCTAGTTTTTATGTGAAGATTTTTTCCACCATAGGCCTCAAAGCTCTCCAAATGTCCACTTGAAGATTCTACAAAAAGAGTATTCCAAAACTGCTCTATCAGAAGAAAATTTCAACCCTGTGAGCTGAATGCACACATCACACAAAAGTTTCTGATAATGCTTCTGTCTAGTTTTTATGTGAAGATATTTCTGTTTCCATCGAAGGCCTCAAATCACTCCAAATATCCACTAGCAGATTCTACAAAAAAAGTGTGTCAAAACGGCTCTATCAAAAGGAAGTTTCAACTCTCTGAGTATTGAGGTCTATGGTGGAAAAGGAAATATCTTCACATAAAAACTAGACAGAAGAATTCTCAGAAACTTCTTTGTGATGTCTGCATTGAACTCAGAGAGCTGAAACTTCCTTTAGATAGAGCAGTTTTGAAACAGTCTTTTTCTAGAATCTGAAAGTGGATAAATGGAGCACTTTGAGGCCTATGTTGGAAAAGAAAATATCCTCACATAAAAAATAGACAGAAGAATTATCAGAAACTTCTTTGTGTTGTGTGCATTCAACTCAGAGTTATACCTTTCCGTTTATTGAGCAGTTTTGAAACACTCCTTTTGTAGAATCTGCAAGTGGATATTTGGAGCGCTTTGGGGCCTGTGGTGGAAAAGGAAATATCTTCACATAAAAACTAGAGAGAAGAATTCTCAGAAACTTCTTTGTGATGAGTGCATTCAATACACACAGTTGAACCTTTCTTTTGATAGAGCAGTTTTGAAACACTCTTTTTGTAGAATCTGCAGGTGGATATTTGGGGCGCTTTGAGGCCTATGGTGGAAAGGGAAATATCCTCACATAAAAACTAAACAGAAGCTTTCTCAGAAACTTTTTTGTGTTGTGTGCATTCAACTAACAGAGTTGAAACTTTCCTTTGATTGAGCAGTTTTGAAACACTCTTTTTGAAGAATCTGCAAGTGGATATTTGGAGCACTTTTGGCCTATGGTGCAAAAGCAGATATCGTCACATAAAAATTTTACAGTAACATTCTCAGAAACTTCTTTATGATGAGCGCATTCAACTCACAGTGTTGAACCTTTCTTTTGATAGAGCAGTTTTGAAACACTCTTTTTTTGTAGAAACTTCAATTGGATATTTGAAGCCCATTGAGGCCTATGGTGGAAAAGGATATATCTTCACAAAAGAACTAGGCCAAAGCATACTGAGAAACTTCTTTGTGATGTGTGCCTTCAACTCACAGAGTTGCACCTATCTTTTGATTGAGCAGTTTTGAATCTCTCTTTTTGCAGAATCTGCTGCTGGATGTTTGGAGAGCTTTGAGGCCTACAGTGGAAAAGGAAATATCTTCACATAAAAACTACACAGAATCATTCTGAGAAACTTCTTTGTGAAGTGTGCATTCAACTCACAGAGTTGAACTTGTCTTCTCATTGAGCAGTTTTGAATCTCTCTTTTTGTAGAATCTGCAAGTGGATAATTGGAGCCCTTTGCACCCTGTGGTGGAAAAGGAAATATCTTCAAATAAAAACTACACAGAAGCATTCAGACAAACTTCTTTGTGATGTATGCATTCAACTCACAGAGGTGAACCTAACTTTTGATTGAGCAGTTTTGAATCTCTCTTTATGCAGAATCTGCAGGTGGATATTTGGAGCCCTTTGTGGCCCACTGTGGAAAAGCAAATATCTTCACATAAAAACAAGACAAAAGCATTCTCAGAAACTTCTTTGTGATGTGTGCATTCAACTCACAGAGTTCAACCTTTCTTTTAATAGAGCAGTTTTAAAAAAGTCTTTTTCTGGAATCTGTAAGTGGATATTTGGAGTGCTTAGAGGTCTATTGTGGAAAAGGAAATATCTTCACATAAAAACTAGACGGAAGCATTGTCAGAAACTTCTTTGTGATACATTCAACTCACAGGGTTGAACTTTTCGTTTGATAGAGCAGTTTTGAAACACTCTTTTTGTAGAATCTGCAAGTGGATACTTGGGGCACTTTGAGGCCTACGGTGGAAATGGAAATATCTTCACATAAAAACTAGAAAGAAGCATTCCCTGAAACTTCTTTGTGATGTGTGCATTCAACTCACAGAGTTGAACCTTTCTATTGATAGAGCAGTTTTGAAAAAGTCTTTTTCTAGCATCTGCAAGTGGATATTTGGGGTGCTTTGAGGTCTATGGTGGAAAAGGAAATATCTTCATGTAAAAACTAGACAGAAGCATTGTCAAACACTTCTTTGTGATGAGTGCATTCAACTCACAGAGTTGAACCTTTCTTTTGTTAGAGCAGTTTTGAAACCCTCTTTTTGTAGAATCTGCAAGTGGATATTTGGAGCACTTTGAGGCCTATTGTGGAAAGGGAAATATTTTCACATAAGAACTAGACAGAAACATCCTCAGAAGCTTCCTTGTGATGAGTGAATTCAACTGACATAATTGAACCTTTCTTTCAATACAGCAGTTTTTAAACACTCTTTTCGTAGTATCTGCAAGAGGATATTTGGAGCATTTTGAGGTCTATGGTGGAAAAGGAAATGTTTTCACATAAAAACTAGACAGAAGCATTCTCAGAAACTTCTTTGTGACGTGTGAATTCAACTGAGACTGTTGAACCAGTCTTTTGTAAGAGCAGTTTTGAAAAACTCTTTTTCTAGAATCTGCAAGAGGATATTTGAAATGCTTTGATGCCAATGGTCTAAAACGAAATATCTTCATATGAAAACTAGACAGAAGCATTCTCAGAAACTTCTTTGTAATATGTGCATTCAGCTCCCTGAGTTGAACCTTTCTTTTAATAGAGCAGTTTTGAAACACTATTTGTAGAATCTGCAAGTGAATATTTGGAGCGCTTTGAGGCCTATGGTGTAAAAGGAAATATCTTCACATAAAAACTATACAGAAGCATTCTCGGAAACTTCTTTGTGATGTGTGCATTCATCTCACAGAGTTGAACCTTTCCTTTGATAGAGCAGTTTTGAAACACTCTTTTCATAATATCTGCAAGTGGATATTTTGAGTGCTTTGGGGCCTATGTTGTAAAAGGAAATATCTTCAGATAGGAACTAGACAGAAGCACTCTCAGAAACTTCTTTGTGATGAGTGCATTCTACTAACAAAGCTGAATGTTTCTATTGACAGATCAGTTTTGAAACACTCTTTTAGTAGAATCTGCAAGTGGATCTTTGTAGTGCTCTGTGACCTTTGGTGGAAGAGGAAGTATCTTCACTTAAAAACTAGACAGAAGCATTCCCAGAACTACTTTGTGATGTGTGCATTCAACTCACAGAGTTGAACCTTTCTATTGATAGAGCAGTTTTGAAACTCTCTTTTTCTAGAATCTGCAAGTGTATATTTGAGTGCTTTGGGGCCTGTGGCAGAAAATGAAATATCTTCACATAAAAACTAGACAGAAGCATTCTCAGAAACTTCTTTGTGATGAGTGCGTTCAACACACAGAGTTGAACCTTTCTTTTGATAGAGCAGTTTTGAAACACTCTTTTTGTAGAATCTGCAAGTGGATATTTGGGGCTCTTTGGGCCCTATGGTGGAAAAGGAAATATCCTCACATAAAAACTAGACAGAAGCATTCTGTGAAACTACTTTGTGATGTGTGCATTCATCTCACAGAGTTGAGCCTTTTTTTCATTGAACAGTTTGGAAACACTCTTTTTGTAGAATCTGCAACTGGATAATTGGAGCTCTTTGAGTCATATTGAGGAAAAGGAAATATCTTCACATAAAGACTACTCAGTAACATTCTGAGAAACTTCTTTGTGATGTGTGTATTCAACTCACAGAGTTGAACCTGTCTTTTGATTGAGCAGTTTAGAATCTCTTTTTGGAGAATCTGCAAGTGGATAGTTGGAGATTTTTGTGCCGTATTGTGTAAAAGGAAATATCTTCAAATAAAAACTACAGAGAAGCATTCTCAGAAACTTCTTCATGATGTGTGCATTCAACTCACAGAGTTGAAACTATATTTTGATTGAGCAGTTTTGAATCTCTCTTTTTGTAGAATCTGCAAGTGGATGCTTGGAGTGCTGTGAGGCCTACTGTGGAAAACCAAATATCTTCACATAAAAACTACCCAGAAGCATTCTGAGAAACTTCTTTGGGATGTGTGCATTCAACTCGCAGAGTTGAACCTATCTTTTGATTGATTGAGCAGTTTTGAATCTCTGTTTTTGCAGAATGTGAAGGTGGATATTAGGAGCCCTTTGAGGCCTACTGTGGAAAAGCAAATATCTTCACATAAAAACTACAAAGAAGCATTCTGGAAACTTCTTTGGGATGTGTGCATTCAACTCACAGAGTTGAACCTCTCTTTTTATTGAACAGTATTGAATCTCACTTTTTGCAGAATCTGCAAGTGGATATTTGGAGCCCTTTGTGGTTTATGGTGGAAAAGGAAATATCTTCAAATGAAAACTTCACAGAAACATTGTGAGAAACTTCTTTGTGATGTGTGCATTCATCTCACAGGGTGGAACCTATCTTATGTTTGAGCAGTTTTGAAACATTGTTTTTGTAGGATCTGCAAGTTGATATTTGGAGCACTCTGAGACCTACCGTGGAAAAGCAAATATCTTCAGATAGAAACTACACAGAAACATTCTGAGGAACTTCTTTGTGTTGTGTGCATTCATCTCAAAGAGTTGAACCTTTCTTTTGATTGAGCAGTTTTGAAACACTGTTTTTGTAGAATCTGCAACTGGATAATTGGAGCCCTTTGAGTCATATTGTGGAAAAGGAAATATCTTCAAATAAAAACTACAGAGAAGCATTTTCAGAAACATCTTTGTGATGTGTGCATTCAACTCACAGAGTTGAACTTATGTTTTGATTGAGCAGTTTTGAATCTCTCTTTTTTTAGAATCTGCAAGTGGATAGTTGGAGTGCTGTGAGGCCTACTGTGGAAAGTCAAATATCTTCACATAAAAACTACACAGAAGCATTCTGAGAAACTTCTTTATGACGTGTGTATTCAACCCACAGAATAGTACCTGTCTTTTGATTGAGCAGTTTTGAATCTCTCTTTTTGCAGAATCTGAAAGTGGGTGTTTGGAGAGCTTTGAGGCCCATTGTGCTGAAGGAAATATCTTTACATAAAAACTGCACAGAAGCATTCTGAGAAACTTCTTTGGGATGTGTGCATTCAACTCACAGAGTTGAACTTCACTTTTTTTTTTTTTGAGAAAGAGTCTGGGTCTGTCACCCAGGCTGGAGTGCAGTGGTGCAATCTCGGCTCACTGCAAGCTCTGCCTCCTGGGTTCATGCCATTCTCCTGCCTCAACCTCCGGAGTAGCTGGGACTACAGGTGCCCACCACTACGCCCAGCTAATTTTTTGTATTTTTAGTAGAGACGGGGTTTCACCATGTTAGCCAGGATGGTCTTGATCTCCTGACCTCGTGATCCACCCATCTTGGCCTACCAAAGTGCTGGGATTACAGGTGTGAGCCACCTGAACCTCTCTTTTTATTAAGCAGTTTTGAATCTCTCTTTTTGCAGAATCTGCAAGTGGATATTTGGAGCTCTTTGTGGTTTATGGTGGAAAAGGATATATCTTCAAATAAAAACTACACAGAAGCGTTCTCAGAAACTTCTTCATGATGTGTGCATTCAACCCACAGAGTTGAAACTTTGTTTCGATTGAGCAGTTTTGAAACATTATTTTTGTAGAATCTGCAACTGCATAATTTTAGCCCTTTGAGGCACATTGTGGAAAAGGAAATATCTTCACATAAAAACTACGTAGAAGATTTCTGAGAAACTACTTTGTGAAGTGTACATTCAACTCACAGAGTTGAGCTTATGTTCTTATTGAGCAGGTTTGAATCTGTCTCTTTGTAGAATCTGCAAGTGGATATTTGGAGCCGTTTGGGCCCTAGGGTCGAAAAGGAAATATCTTCAAATTAAAACTATACATAAACATTCAGAGAAACTTATTTGTGCTGTACGCTTTCAACTCACAGAGTTGAACATATCTTTTGAATGAACAGTTTTGAATCTCTGTTTTTGCAGAATCTGCAGGTGGATATTAGGAGCCCTTTGAGGCCTACTGTGGAAAAGCAAATATCTTCACATAAAAACTACACAGAAGCATTCTGAGAAACTTCTTTGGGTTGTGTGCATTCAACTCACAGAGTTGAAACTATCTTCTGATTGAGCAGTTTTTAAGCTCCCTTCTGGAAGGATTTGCAAGTGGATATTTAGAGCCCTTTGTGGCCTAAGGTAGAAAAGGATATATCTTCAAGTAGAAACTACACAGAAACATTCTGAGAAACTTCTTTGTGATGTTTGCATTCATCTCACAGGGTTGGACCTATGTTATGATTGAGCATTTTTGAAAAACTCCTTTTGTTGAGTCTGCAAGTGGACATTTGGAGTGCTTTGAGACCAACAGTGGAAAAGCAAATATTCTCAGATAAAAACTACACAGAAGCATTCAGATTAACTTCTTTGTGATGTGTGCATTCATCTCACAGAGTTGAACCTATCTTTTGATTGAGTAATTTTGAAACACTCTTTTTGTAGAATCTGCAAATGGATATTTGGAGCCCTTTGAGGCCTATTGTGGAAAAGGAAATATCTTCAAATGAAAACTACACAGAAGCATTCTGAGAAACTTCTTTGTGATGTGTGCATTCATCTGACAGAGTTGAACTTATCTTCTCATTGAACAGTATTGAGTATCTCTTTTTATATAATCTGCAAGTGGATATTTGGAGCCCTTTGAGGCCTACTGTGGTAAAGCAAATATCTTCACATAAAAACTACACAGAAGCATTCTGAGAAATTCCTTTGGGATGTGTGCATTCAACTCACAGAGTTGAACCTCTCTTTTTATTGAGCAGTTTTGAATCTCTCTTTTTGCAGAATCTGCAGGTGGATATTTGGAGCCCTTTTTGGTTTATGGTGGAAAAGGGAATATCTTCAAATAAAAATTTCACAGAAACATTATGAGAAACTTCTCTGTGATGTGTCCATTCATCTCACAGGATTGAACCTATCTTATGATTGAGCGGTTTTGAACCACTGTTTTTGTAGAATCTGCAAGTTGATATTTGGAGTGCTCTGAGGCATACCGTGGAAAAGCAAATATCTTCAGATAAAAACTACACAGAAACATTCTGAGGAACTTCTTTGTGATGTGTGCATTCATCTCACAGAGTTGAATCTTTCCCTTGATTTAGCAGTTTTGAAACACTCTTTTTGTAGAATCTGCAACTGGATAATAGGATCCCTTTGAGTCATATTGTGTAAAAGGAAATATCTTCACATAAAGACTACTCAGAAACATTCTGAGAAAATTCTTTGTGATGTGTGCATTACACACACAGAGTTGAACCTATCTTTTGATTGAGCAGTTTAGAATCTCTTTTTGGAGCATCTCCAAGTGAATAGTTGGAGCTTTTTGCGCCATATTGTGCAAAAGGAAATATCTTCAAATAAAAACTACAGAGAAGCATTCTCAGAAACTTCTTCATGATATGTGCATTCAACTCACAGAGTTGAACCTATATTTTGATGGAGCAGTTTTGAATCTCTCTTTATGTAGAATCTGCAAGTGGATACTTGGAGTGCTGTGAGGCCCACTGTGGAAAATCAAATATCTTCACATAAAAACTACACAGAAGCCTTCTGAGAAACTTCTTCATGACGTGTGAATTCAACCCACAGAATTGTACCTATCTTTGAATTGAGCAGTTTTGAATCTCTCTTTTTGCAGAATCTGCAAGTGGATGTTTGGAGAGCTTTGAGGCCTATTGTGTAAAGGGAAATATCTTCACATAAAAACTAGACAGAAGCATTCTCAGAAACTTCTTCATGATATGTGCATTCAACTCACAGGTTTGAACCTATGTTTTGCTTGAGCAGGTTTGAATCTCTCTTTTTGTAGAATCTGCAAGTGGATATTTGGAGCCCTTTCCACCCTAGGGTTGAAAAGGATATATCTTCAAATAAAAACTACCCAGAAGCATTCTGAGAAACTCCTTTGTGAGGTGTACATTAAACTCACAGAGTTGAAATTATCTTCTCGTTGAGCAGGTTTGAGTCTCTCTTTTTGTGGAATCTGCAAGTGGATATTTGGAGCCCTTTCCGCCCTAGGGTTGAAAAGGAAATATCTTCAAATAAAAACTACACAGAAGCATTCAGAGAAACTTCTTAGTGATGTATGGTTTCAACTCACAGAGTTGAACCTATCTTTTGATTGAGCAGTTTTGAAGCTCTTTTTTTTTTTGCAGAATCAGCAGGTGGATATTAGAAGCCCTTTGAGGCCTACTGTAGAAAACCTAATATCTTCACATAAAAACTACACAGAAGCATTCTGAGAAACATCTTTGTGATGTATGCATTCAACTCACAGAGTTCAATCTATCTTTTGATTGAGCAGTTTTGGATCTCAGTTTTTGCAGAATTTGCAAGTGGATATTTGGAACCCTTTGTGGCCTATGGTGGAAAAGGAAATATCTTAAAATAAAAACTACAGAGAAACATTCTCAGAAACTTCTTTGTGATGTCTGCATTCATCTCTCAGGGTTGAATCTTACTTTTGAATGAGCAGTTTTGAAACACTCTTTTGGTAGAATCTGCAAGTGGATATTTGGAGCTCTTTGAGGTCTATTATGGAAAAGGAAATATCTTCACATAAAAACTACACAGAAGCATTCTGAGAAACTTCTTTGTGATGCATGCATTCATCTCACAGAGTTGAACTTATCTTCTCATTGAGCAGTTTTGAATCTCTCGTTTTGTAGAGTCTGCAAGTGGATATTTGGAGCCCTTTGCACCCAATGGTGGAAAAGGGAATATCTTCAAATAAAAACTACACAGAAGCATTAAGAGAGACTTCTTTGGGATTTATGCATACAGCTCGCAGAATTGAACTTATCTTTTGACTGAGCAGTTTTGAATCTCTCTTTTTCCAGAATCTGCAGGTGGATATTTGGAGCCCTTTGAGGCCTACTGTGGAAAAGCAAATATCTTCACATAAAAAGTACACAGAAGCATTCTGAGAAACTTCTTTGGGAAGTGTGCATTTAACTCACAAAGTTGAACCTCTCTTTTTATTGAGCAGTTTTGAGTCTCTCTGCAGAATCTGCAAGTGGACATTTGGAGCCCTTCGTGCTTCATGGTGGAAAAGAAAATATCTTTAAATAAAAACTACACAGAAACTTTCTGAGAAACTTCTTTGTGATGTGTGCATTCATCTCACAGGTTTGAACCTATCTTATAATTGAGCAGATTTGAAACACTAATTCCGTGGAATCTGCAAGTGGATATTTGGAGCTCTTTGAAGCCTACCATGGAAAAGTAAATATCTTCAGATGAAAACTAAACAGAAGCATTCTGAGAAACAACTTTGTGATGTGTGCAATCACCTCACAGAGTTGAACATTTCTTTTGATTGAACAGTTCTGAAACACTCTTTTTGTAGAATCTGCAAATGGATATTTGGAGCCCTTTGAGGCCTATTGTGGTAAAGGAAATATCTTCATATAAAAACTAGACAGAAGCATTCTCAGAAACTTCTTTGGGATGTGTGCATTCAACTCACAGATTTGAACCTATCTTTTGATTGAGCAGTTTTGAGTCTCTCTTTTTGTAGAATCTTCAAGTGAACATTTGGAGCGCTGTGAGGCCTACTGTGGAAAATCAAATATGTTAACAAAAAAACTACACAGAAAAATTCTGAGAAACTTCTTTGTGATGTGTGCATTCAACTCACAGTGTTGAACCTATCTTTTGATTGAACAGATTTGTATCTCTCTTTTTGCAGTATCGGCAAGTGGATGTTTGGAGAGCATTGAGGCCTATTGTGGAAAAGGAATATCTTCACATAAAAACTACACAGAAGCATTCTGATAAACTACTTTGTGAGGTGTGCATTCAACTCACAGAGTTGAACTTATCTTCTCATTAAGCAGTTTTGAAGCTCTCTTTTTGTAGAATCTGGAAGTGGATACTTGGAGCCCTTTGAGACCTCTTGTGGAAAAGGAAATATCTTCACATAAAACTACTCAGAAGCATTCTGAGGAAATTCTTTGTGATGTGTGCATTCAACTCACAGAGTTGAACCTTTCTTTTGATAGGGGAGTTTTGAAACTACACACAAATATTCTGAGAAACTACTTTGTGATGTGTGCATTCATCTCACAGGGTTGAACCTATCTTATGATTGAGCAGTTTTGAAACACTCTTTGTAGAATGTGCAAATGGATATATGGAGCGCTTTGAGGCCTATAGTGGAAAATAAAATATCTTCAGGTAAAAACTACACAGAAGCATTATGAGAAACTTCTATGTGATGTGTGCATTCATCTGTCAGAGTTGAACCTTTCTTTCGATTTAGCAGTTTTGAAACATTCTTTTTATAGAATCTGCAAGTGGATATTTGGAGCCCCTTGAGGCCTATTGTGGAAAAGGAAATATCTTCACATAAAAACTACATAGAAGCATTCTGAGAAACCTCTTTGAGATGTGTGCATTCATCTCACGGAGTTGAACCTTTCTTTTGATGGAGCAGTTTTAAAACACTTTTTGTAGAATCTCCAAGTGGATAATTGGAGTCCTTTGAGACCTATTGTGGAAAAGGACACATCTACACATAAAAACTTCTCAGAAGCATTCTGAGAAACTTCTCTGTGATGTGTGCATTCAACTCACAGAGTTGAACCTATATTTTGACTGAGCAGTTTAGAATCTCCCTTTTTGTAGAATGTGTAAGTGGATATTTAGAGCCCTTTGTGCCCTATGGTGGAAAAGGAAATATCTTCCAATAAAAACTACACAGAGTCATTCTCAGAAACTTCTTCTTGATGTGTGCATTCAACTCACAGAGTTGAACCTATCTTTTGATTGAGCAGTTGAGAATCTCTGTTTTTGCAGAATCTGTAAGTGGATATTTGGAGCCCTTTGTGGCCTATGGTGGAAAAGGAAATATCTTCAAATAAAAAGTATGCAGAAGCATTCTGAGAAACTTTTTTGTGATGTGTGCATTCATCTCACAGGGTTGAACCTATCTTATGATTGAGCAGTTTTGAAACTCTCCTTTGCAGAATCTGCAAGTGGATATTTAGAGAGTGCTTTGAGGCCTACCATGGAAAAGCAAATATCTTCAGATAAAAACTACCCAGAAGAATTCTGAGAAACTTCTTAGTTATGTGTGCATTCATCTCTCAGAGTTGAACCATTCTTTTGATTAAGCAGTTTTAAAGCACTTTTTTTGTAGAATCTGCAAGTAGATAATTGGAGCCCTTTGAGGCCTATTGTGGAAAAGGAAATATCTTCACATAAAAACTACTCAGAACAATTCTGAGAAACTTCTTTGTGATGTGTGCATTCAACTCACAGAATTGAACCTATCTTTTCATTGAGCAGGTTAGAATCTCTCCTTTTGTAGAATTTGCATGTGGATATTTGGAGCCTTTGTGCCCTAGAGTGGAAAAGGAAATATCTTCGTATAAAAACTACGGAGAAGCATTCTCAGAAACTTCTTCATGATGTGTGCATTCAAAACACAGAGTTGATCCTATCTTTTGATTGAGCAGTTTTGAATCTCTTTTTGCAGAATCTGCAAGTGGATACTTGGAGTGCTGTGAGGCTTACTGTGGAAAATCAAATATGTTCACATAAAAACTACACAGAAGCATTCTGAGAAACATCTTTGTGATGTGTGTATTGAACTCACAGAGTTGAACATATTTTTTGATTGAGCAGTTTAGAATCCCTCTTTTTGTAGAATCTGCAAGTGGATATTTGGCGCCCTTTGTGCCCAATGGTGGAAAAAGAAATATCTTCAAATAAAAACTTCACAGAAGCATTCAGAGAAACTTCTTTGTGATGTAGGTATTCAACTCACAGAGTTGAAACTATCTTTTGATTGAGCAGTTTCAATTCTCTCTTTTTGCAGAAACTGCAGGTGGATATTTGGAGCTTTTTGAGGCCTGCTGTGGAAAAGCACATATCTTTCCATAAAAACTACACATAAGAATTATGAGAAACTACTTTGGGATGTGTGCATTCAACTCACAGAGGTGAACTTATCTTCTCATTGAGCAGTTTTGAATCTATGTTTTTGCAGAATCTGCAGGTGGACATTGGAGCCCTTTGAGGCCTACTGTGGAAGACCAAATATCTTCAACTAAAAACTACACAGAAGAATTCTGAGAAACTTCTTTGGGATGTGTGCATTCAACTCACAGAGTTGAACCTATCTTTTGATTGAGCAGTTTAGAATCTCTCTTTTTGTGGAATCTGCAAATGGATATTTGGAGCCCTTTGCACCCTATGGTGGAAAAGGAAATATCTTCAAGTAAAAACTACACAGAAGCAATCTCAGAAAAGTCTTCATGATGTGTGCATTCAACTCACAGACTTGAACTTATCTTTTCATTGAGCAGTTTTGATTCTCTCTTTTTATAGACTCTGCAATTGGATATTTGGAGCACTGTGAGGCCTACTGTGGAAAATCAAACATGTTCACATAAAAACTACACAGAAGAATTCTGAGACACTCCTTTGTGATGCGTGCACCTAGCTCAGAGAGGTGAAACTATCTTATAATTGAGCAGATTGGAAAAACTCTTTTTGTTGAATCTGCAAGTGGATATTTCGAGTGCTTTGAGGCCTACTGTGGAAAAGCAAATATCTTCAGATAAAAACTACACAGAAGAATTCTGAGAAAGTTCTTTGTGATGTATGCATTCATCTCACAGAGTTGAACTTTCTTTTCATTGAGCAGTTTTCAAACACTCTTTTTGTAGAATCTGCAGTTGGATATTTGGATCCCTTTGAGGCCTATTGTGGAAAAGGAAATATCTTCGCATAAAAATTATTCAGAAACATTCTGTGAAACTTCTTTGTGATGTGTGCATTCAACTCACAGAGTTGAACCTATCTTTTGATTGAGCACCTTAGAATCTCTCTTTTTGTGGAATCTGCAAATGGATATTTGGAGCCCTTTGCACTCTATGGTGGAAAAGGAAATATCTTCAGATAAAAACTGCATAGAAACAATCTCAGAAACTTCTTCATGATGGGTGCATTCAACTCACAGACTTGAACCTATCTTTTGATTGAGCAGCTTTGAAACTCTCTTTTGTAAAATCTGCAATTGGATATTTGGAGCGCTGTGAGGCCTACTGTGGAAAATCAAATATGTTCATTTAAAAACTACACAGAAGTATTCTGAGAAACTTCTTTGTGATGCATGCATTCAACTCACAGAGTTGAACCTTTCTTTAAATTGAGCAGTTTTCAAACACTTTTTTTGTGGAATCTGAAGGTGGATATTTAGGGCCCTTTGAGGCCTATTGTTGAAAACTAAATATCCTCACATAAAAATTAAACAGAAGCATTCTGAGAAACTTTTTGTGATGTGTGCATTCATCTCACAGAGTTGAACCTTTGTTTTGACTGATCAGTTTTGAAACACTGTTTTTGTAGAAACTGCAAGTGGATATTTGGAGCCCTTTGAGGCCTATCTTGGGAAAGGAAATACCCTCACATAAGAACTACAAAGAAGCATTCTGAGAAACGTCTTTGTGATGTGTGCATTCATCTCACAAAGTTGAACCTTTCATTTGATTGAGCAGTTTTGGCACACTTTTTTTTTAGAACCTGCAAGTGGATAATTGGAGCCCTTTGAGGCTTATAGTGGCAAAGGAAATATCTTCACATAAAAACTAGTCAGAAGCATTCTTAGAAACTTCTTCATTATATGTGCATTCAACTCATAGAGTTGAGCCTATCTTTTGATTGAGCACTTTTGAATCTCTCTTTTTGTAGAATCTGCAAATGTATATTTGGAGAACAGTGAGGCCTACTGTGGAAAATCAAATATGTCCACTTCAAAACTACACAGAAGAATTCTGAGAAACTTCTTTGTGATGTGTGCATTCAACTCACAGAGTTGAACCTATCTTTTGATTAAGCAGTTTTGAATCTTTCTTTTTGCAGAATCTGCAAGTGGATTTTTGGAGCCCTTTGAAGTCTATTGTGGAAAAGGAAATATATTCACATAAAAACTACACAGAAGTATTCAGAGAAACTTCTTTGTGATGTGTGCATTCATCTCACAGGGTTGAACCTATCTTATGATTGAGCAGTTTTGAAACACTCTTTTTGTAGAATCTGCAAGTGGATATTTTGAGCTCTTTGAGGCCTACCATGGAAAAGCAAACATCTTCACATAGAAACTACACAGAAGCATTCTGCCAAACTTCTTTGTGCTGTGTGCATTCATCCCACAGTGTTGAATCTTTCTTTTGATTGAGCTGTTTTCAAACACTCTTTTTGTTGAAACTGTAAGTGGATATTTGGAGCCCTTTGTGGCCTGTTGTGAAAAAGGAAATATCTTCACAGAAAAACTACACAGAAGCATTCAGAGAAACTTCTCTGTGAAGTGTGTATTCATCACACAGAGTTGAACTTTTCTTTTGACTGATCAGTTTTGAAACACTCTCTCTGTTGAATCTGTAAGTGGTTATTTGGAGCCCTTTTAGGCCTATTGTGGAAAAGGAAATATCTTCACTTAAAAACTAGTCAGAAGCATTGTGAGAAACTTCTTCGTGATGTGTGCATTCAACTCACAGAGTTAAACTTATCTTTTGATTGAGCAGTTTTGAACCTCTCTTTTTGTGCAATCTGCAAGTGGATATTTGGAGCACAGTGAGGCCTACTATGGAAAATCAAATATATTCACTTCAAAACTACACAGAAGCATTCTGAGAAATTTCTTTGTGATGTGTGCATTCAACTCAAGAGTTGAACCTATTTTTTTTTTTTTTTTTGAGCAGTTTTGAATCTTTCTTTTTGCAGAATCTGCAAGTGGATGTTTGGAGCCATTTGAGGCCTATTGTGGAAAAGGAAATATCTTCACATAAAAACTACACAGATGCATTCTGAGAAACTTCTTTGTGAGGTGTGCATTCAATTCACAGAGGTGAACTTATCTTCTCAATGAGCAGTTTTGAATATACCTTTTTTCAGAATCTGCAGGTGGATATTTGGAGCCCTTTGGGACCTACTGTGGAAGAGCAAATATCTTCAACTAAAAACTACACAGAAGAATTCTGAGAAACTACTTTGGGATATGTGCTTTCAACTCACAGAGTCGAACCTATCTTTCGATTGAGCAGTTGAGAATCTCTCTTTTTGTGGAATCTGCAAATGGATATTTGGAGCCCTTTGCACCCTATGGTGGAAAAGGAAATATCTTCAAATAAAAACTACACAGAAACAATCTCAGAAACTTCTTCATGATGTGTGCATTCAACTCACAGACTTGAACTTATCTTTTCATTGAGCAGTTTTGAATCTCACTTTTTGTAGTATCTGCAATTGGATATTTGGAGTGCTGTGAGGCCTACTGTGGAAAATAAAATGTGTTCACATAAAAACTACACAGAAGTATTCTAAGAAACTTCTTTGTGATGCGTGCATTCAGCTCAGAGTTTTGAACCTATCTTGTGATGGAGCAGTTTTGAAACACACTTTTTGTAGAATCTGCAAGTGGATATTTCGAGTGCTTTGAGGCCTACCGTGGAAAAGCAAATATATTCAGATAATAAGTACACAGAAGCATTCTGAGAAACTTTTTTGTGATGTGTGCATTCATCTCACAGAGTTGAAACTTCCTTTTCATTGAGCAGTTTTCAAACACTCTTTTTGTGGAATCTGAAGGTGGATATTTGGAGCCCTTTGAGGCGGATTGTTGAAAAGGAAATATCCTCACATAAAAACTAAACAGAAGCATTCTGAGAAACTTCTTGTGATGTGTGCATTCATCTCACAGAGTTGAACCTTTCTGTTGACTGATCAGTTTTGAGACACTCTTTTTGTAGAATCTGCAGGTGGATATTTGGAGCCCTTTGAGGCCTATTGTGGGAAAGGAAATATCCTCACATAAGAACTAGAAAGAAGCATTCTGAGAAAGGCCTTTGTGATGAGTGCATTCATCTCATAGAGGTGAACTTTTGTTTTGATTGAGCAGTTTTGGAACACTCTTTTTGTGCAATCTGCAAGTGAATAATTGGAGCCCTTAGAGGCCTATTGTGGAAAACGAAATATCTTCACATAAAAACTAGTCAGAAGCATTCTGAGAAACTTCTTCATGATGTGTTCATTCAACTCACATAGTTGATCCCATCTTTTGATTAAGCAGTTTTGAATCTCTCTTTTTGTAGCATCTGCATGTGGATATTTGGAGCACTGTGAGGCCTTCTGTGGAAAATCAAATATGTTCACTTCAAAACTGCACAGAAACCTTCTGAGAAAATTCTTCTTGATGTGTGCATTCAACTCACAGAGTTGAACCTATCTTTCGATTGATCAGTTTTGAATCTTTCTTTTTGCAGAATCTGCAAGTGAATGTTTGGAGCCGTTTGAGGCCTCTTGTGGAAAAGGAAATATCTTCACATAAAAACTACACAGAAGCATTCTGAGAAACTTCTTTGTGAGGTGTGCATTCAACTCACAGAGTTTAACTTATCTTCTCATTGAGCAGTTTTGAATCTATCTTTTTTTTGGAATCTGCAGGTGGATATTTGGAGCCCTTTGATACCTACCGTGGAAGAGCAAATATCTTCAACTAAAAACTACACAGAAGAATTCTGAGAAACTTCTTTGGGATGTGTGCATTCAACTCACAGAGTTGAACCTATCTTTTCATTGAGCAGTTTAGAATCTCTCTTTTTGTAGCATCTGCAAAGTGGATATTTGGAGCCATTTTCACCTTACAGTGGAAAAGGAAATATCTTCAAATAAAAGCTACCCAGAAACATTCTGAGAAACTTCTTTGTGATGTGTGCATTCATCTCACAGAGTTGAACCCATCTTTCGATTGAGCAGTTTAGAATCTCTCTTTTTGTACAATCTGCAAGTGGATATTTGGAGCGCTGTGAGGCCTACTATGGAAAATCAAATATGTTCACATAAAAACTACACAGAAGCATTCTGGGAAAGTTCTTTGTGATGTGTGCATTCATCTCACAGAGTTGAACCTATCTTTTGATTGAGCAGTTTAGAATCTCTCATTTTGTAGAATCTGCAAGTGGATATTTGAAGAGCTTTGAGGCCTATATCTTCACACAAAAACTTCACAGAATCATTCTGAGAACCTTCTTTGTGAGGTGTGCCTTCAACACAGAGAGTTGAACTTATATTCTCATTGAGCAGTTTTGAATCTCTCTTTTTGTAGAATCTGCAAGTGAACATTAAGAGCCCTCTGTGGCCTATGATGGAAAAGGAAATATCTTCACATAAAAACTACACAGAAACATTCTGAGAAACCTCTTAGCAATGTGTTCATTCATCTCACAGAGTTGAACCTTTCTTTTGATTGAGCAGATTTCAATCTCTCTTTTTGTAGAATGTGCAAGTGGATATTTGGAGCACTGAGAGGCCTACTGTGATAAATTGAATTTGTTCACAGAAAAACTACACAGAAGCATTCTGTGAAACCTCTTTGTGAGCTGTGCATTCAACTCACAGAGTTAAACTTATCTTCTCATTGAGCAGTTTTGAATTTATCTTTTTGCAGAATCTGCAGGTGGATTGTTGGAGCCCTTCGTGGCCTATTGTGGAAGAGCAAATATCTTCAACTAAAAACTACACAGAAGCATTCTGAGAAACTTCTTTGCATTGTGTGCATTCAACTCACAGAGTTAAACCTATCTTTTGATTTAGCAGTTTTGAATCTCACTTTTTGCAGGATCTGCAAGTGAATATTTGGAGCCATTTGTGGCCTATGGTGGAAAAGGATACATCTCCACATAAAAACTACACAGAATCATTCTGAGAAACTTCTTTGTGATGTGTGCATTCATCTCATGGAGTTGAACCTTTCCTTTGATTGAGGAGTTCTGAAACCCTCTTTTTATATAATCTGCGAGTGGATATTTTGAGCCCTTTGTGGCCTATTGTGGAAAAGGAAATATCCACAGATAAAAACTACACAGAAGCATTCTGAGAAACTTCTTTGTGATGCTTGCATTCAACTCACAGGGCTGAACCTATCTTTTGATTGAGTAGTTTGGAATCTCTCTTTTTGCACAATCTGCAAGTGGATGTCTGGAGAGCTTTGAGGTGGATTGTGGAAATGGAAATATCTTCACATAAAAATTATACAGAAGCATATTGAGAAACTTCTTGTGATATGTGCATTCAACTCACAGAGTTGAACTTATCTTCTCATTGAGCAGTTTTGAATCTCTCTTTTTGTAGAATCTGCAACTGGATATTTGGAGCCCTTTGTGGCCTATGGTGGAAAAAGATACATCTTCACATAAAAACTACACAGAAACATTCTGATAAACTCCTTTGTGATGTGTACATTCATCTCAGAGGGTTGAACCTATCTTATGATTGAGCAGTTTTGAAACAATCTTTTTGATGAATCTGCGAGTGGATATTTCGAGTGCTTTGAGGCCTATCATGGAAAAGCAAATATCCTAACATAAAAACTACACAAAAGCATTCTGAGAAACTTCTTTGTGATGTGTGCATTCATCCCACAGAGGTGAAACTTTTTTGATTGAGCAGTTTTGTATCACTCTTTTTGTAGAATCTGCAAGTGGATAATTGGAGTCCTTTGTGGCCTATTGTGGAAAAGGAAATATCTTCAAATAAAAACTACACAGAGTCATTCTCAGAAACTTCTTCTTGATGTGTGCATTCAACTCACAGAGTTGAACCTATCTTTTGATTGAGCAGTTTAGAATCTCTCTTTTTATACAATCTGCAAGTGGATGTTTGAAGAGCTTTGCGGTCTACTGTGGAAAACGAAATATCTTCACATAAAAACTACACAGAAGAACTCAGAACCTTCCTTGCGAGGTGTGCATTCATCACACAGAGTTGAACTTATCTTCTCATTGAGCACTTTGGAATTTCTCTTTTTGTAGAATCTGCAAGTGGATATTTGGGGCCCTCTGTGGCCTATGATGGAAAAGGAAATATCTTCACACAAAAACTACACAGAAGCATTCTGATAAACTTCTTAATGATGTATGCATTCATGTCACAATGTTGAACATTTCTTTGATTGAGCAGTTTTGAATCTATTTGTAAAATGTTCAAGTGGATATTTTAGCGCTGAGAGGCCTACTGTGGAAAATCGAATATGTTCACAGAAAAACTACACAGAAGCATTCTGAGAAACTTCTTTGTGAGGTGTGCCTTCAACTCACAGAGGTGAACTTATCTTCTCATTGAGCAGTTTTGAATATCTTTCTGCAGAATCTGCAGGTGGATATATGGAGCCCTTGGAGGCCTACTGTGGTAGAGGAAATATCTTCAACTAAAAACTACACAGAATCATTCTGAGAAACTTCTTTGCATTGTGTGCATTCAACTCACAGAGTTGAGCCTATCTTTTGATTGAGCAGTTGGAAACACTCTTTTTGTAGAATCTGCACTAGGACATTTGGAGCAGCATGCAGCCTATCATAGAAAAGGAAATATCTTCACATGAAATCTAGGTGGAAGCAATCTGAGAAATTTATTTGTGATGTGTGCACTCAACACACAGAGTTGCACCTTCCTTTTGATTGAGCAGTTTTGAAACACTCTTTTTGTAGAATCTGCAAGTGGATATTTGGAGCGCTTTGAGGCCTATGGTGGAAAAGGAAATATCTTCACATAAAAACTAGAGAGAAGAATTGTGAGAAACTTCTTTGTGATGTTTGCATTAATCTAACAGAGTTAAAACTTTCTTTTGATTGAGCGCTTTTGAAACTCTCTTTTTGCAGAATCTTCAATTGGACATTTGGAGCTCTTTGAGACCTGTTGTGGAAAAGCAAATATATTCACATAAAAACTAGAAAGAAGAATTCTGAGTAGCTTCTTTGTGTGGTGTGCTTTCATCTCATAGAGTTGAACCTTTCATATGACTGTGCAGTTTGGAAACACTCTTTATGTAGTATCTGCAATTGGACATTTGGAGCCTTTGTGGCCTCTGTTAGAAAGGAAATATCTTCACATAAAATCTACACAGAAGCAATCTGACAAACTTCTTTGTGTTGTGTGCATTCACCTCACAGAGTTAAACCTTTCTTTTGATGTAGAAATTATGAAACTCTGTATTTTAGAATCTACAAGTGGACACTAGGATCGCTTTGAGGCCTATTGTGGGAAAGGAAATATCGTCACATAAAAACTAGATAGAAGCATTCTGAAAAACTTCGTTGTGATGTGTACATTCATCTCCCAGAGTCGAACCTTTCTTCTGAAGGACCAGTTTTGAAATACACTTTTTGTAGAATCTGGAAGTGGACATTTGGAGTGCTTTGCGGCCTGTGGTAGAAAAGGAAATATGTTCACATAAAATCTAGAGAGAATCAATCTGAGAAACTTCTTTGTTATGTGGGCATTCATCTCACAGAGTTAAACCTTTCTTTTTATTGAGCAGTTATTAAAATCTCTTTTTGGAGGATCTGCAAGCGGACATTTGGAGCGCTTTGATGCCTATGGTGGAACAGGAAGTATCTTCACATAAAAACTAGACAGAAGCATTCTGAGAAACTTATTGTGATGTTTGCATTCATCTCACAGAGTTGTAGCTTTCTTTTGATTGAGCAGTTTGGAAACACTCTTTTTGTAGAATCTGCAAATGGACATTTGGACCACTTTGCATTCTATGGTAGAATAGGAAATATCTTCACATAAAATCTAGACAGAAGCATTCTCAGAGACTTCTTTGTGATGTGTGCATTCAACTCACAGAGTTAAACCTTTCTTTTGATAGAGCAGTTTTGAAACTCTCTTTTTGTAGCATCTGCCAGTAGACATTTGGAACGCTTTGAGGCCAATGGTGGAAAACGAAGTATCTTCACATAAAAACCAGACAGAAGAATTCTGAGAAACTTCTTTGTGATATGTGCTTTCATCTCATAGAGTTGAACCTTTCTTTTGATTGAGTAGTTTGGAAACACTCTTTTTGTGGAATCCGCAAGTGGACATTTGGAGCGGTATGCGGCCTATGGCAGACAAGGAAATACCTTCACATTTAGACAGAAGCCATCTGAGAAACTTCTTTGTGAGGTGTGCATTCATTTCACTCATTTAAACCTTTCTTTTGAAAGAGCAGTTTTGAAACTCTCTTTTTCTAGAATCTGCAACTGGACATTTGGAGTGCTTTGACGCCTATGGTGGAATAAGGAATATCTTCATATAAAAACTAGACAGAAGAATTCTGAGAAACTTCTTTGTGATGTGTGTGTTCAGCTCACAGATTTGAACATTTCTTTTTTTTGAGCAGTTTGGACACACTATTTGTAAATTCTGCAAGTGGACATTTGGAGCACTTTGTGGCCTATGGTACAAAAAAAAATCTTAAAAGAAAATCTAGACAGAAACAAACTGAGAAACCTCCTTGTGATGTGGGCATTCACCTCACAGAATTAAACCATTCTTTTGATTGATTGAGGAGTTTTCAAACTCTCTTTTTGTAGAATCTGCAAGCGGACATTTGGAACGCTTGTGATGTGTGCATTCATCTCAAAAGGTTAAACCTTTCTTTTGATAGAGAAGTTTTGAAAGTCTCCTTTTGTAGAATTTGCAAGTGGACATTTGGAGCGCTTTGAGGCCTAGGGGGAAAAGGAAATATCTTCACATAAAAAGTAGACAGAAGGACATTTGGAGTGCTTTGCGGCCTAAGGTAGAAAAGGAAATATTTTCACATAAAATCTAGACAGAAGCAATCTGAGAAACTTCTTTATGATGTGTGTATTCATCTCACAGTGTTAAAACTTTCTTTTGATTGTGCAGTTTTGAAATTCTCTTTCTGTAGAATCTGCAAGTTGATATTTCGAGTGCTTTGAACCCTTTGGTGGAAAAGGAAATATCTTCACAGAAAAACTAGAAGGAAGAATTCTGAGAAACTACTTTGTAATGTGTGCGTTCTTCTCACATAGTTGAACCTTTCTGTTGATTGAGCAGTTTGGAAACACTCTTTTTGTAGAATCTGCAAGTGGACATTTGGAGTGCTTTGCGGCCTTTTGAAGAAAAGGAAATAGCTTCACGTAAAATCTAGACAGAAGCAATCTGAGAAACTTCTTTGTGATGTCTGTATTCATCTCACAGAGTTAAAACTTTCTTTTGATTGTGCAGTTTTGAAACTCTCTTTTTGTAGAATCTGCAAGTTGACATTTCGAGTGCTTTGAACCCTGTGGTGGAAAAGGAAATATCTTCACTGAAAAACTAGAGAGAAGAATTCTGAGAATCTACTTTGTGATGTGTGCATCCTTCTCACAGAGTTGAGCCTTTCCTTTTATTGAGCAGTATGGAAACACTCTTTTTGTAGAATCTGCAATTGGACATTTGGAGTGCCTTGCGGTCTATGGCAGAAAAGGAAATATATTCACATGAAATCTAGACAGAAGGAAGCGGAGAAACTTCTTTCAGATGTGTGTATCCACCTCAAAGAGTTAAAGATTTATTTTGATTGAGGAGTTTTCAAACTGTCTTTTTGTAGAATCTGCAAGTGGACATTTGGAGCCCTTTGAGGCCTATGGTGGAAAAGGAAATATCTTCACATAAAAAATAAGCAGAAGAATTCTGAGAAACTTCTTTGTGATGTGTGCGTTCATCTCAGAGAATTTAAGCTTTCTATTGAGTGAGCAGTTTGGAAACACTCTTTTTGTAGAATATGGAAGGGGACATTCAGAGCGCTTTGTGGCCTATGTGAAAAAAGGAAATATCTTCACATAAAATCTAGATAAAAGCAATCTGAGAAAATTCTTTGTAATGTGTGCATTCATCTCACAGAGTTAAAACTTCCTTTTGTTTGAGGAGTTAAGAAAGTATCTTTTTGTAGTATCTACAAGTGGATATTTTGAGTGCTTGAGGCCTATTTTGGAAAAGGAAAAAGCTTCACATAAAAACTAGACAGAAGCAATCTGAGAAACTTCTTTGTGATGAGTGATTTCATCTCACAGAGTTGATTCTTTCTTTTGAGTGAGCCCTTTTGGAAACACTCTTTTTGTAGAATCTGCAAGTGGACATTTGGAGTGCCTTGAGGCCAATGGTAGAAAAGGAAATATCTTCGCCTAAAAACTACACAGAAGCAATCTGCGAAACAGCTTTGTGATGTGTGCATTCATCTGCCAGAGTTGAACCTTCCTTTGAAGGATCAGTTTTGAAATACTCTTTTTGTAGAATCTGCAAGTCAACATTTGGAGTGCTTTGAGGCCTATGTTCCAAAGTGAAATATCTTCCCATAAAATCTAGATAGAAGCAATCTGAGAAACTTCTTTGTGATGTGTGCATTCATCTCAAAGCGTTAAACCTTTTTTTGATAGAGAAGTTTTGAAAGTCTCTTTTTGTAGGATTTGCAAGTGGACATTTGGAGTGTTTTGAGGCCTAGGGGGAAAAGGAAATATTGTCACATAAAAAGTAGACAGAAGAATACTGAGAAGCTTATTTCTGATGTGTGCATTCACTTCAAAGAGTTGAACCTTTCTTTTGATCGAGCAGTTTGGAAACACTCTTTTTGAAGAATCTTCAAGTGGACATTTGGAGCGCTTTGTGGCCTAAGGTAGAAAAGGAAATATTTTCACATAAAATCTAGACAGAAGTAATCTGAGAAACTTCTTTATGATGTGTGTATTCATCTCACAGTGTTAAAACTTTCTTTTGATTGTGCAGTTTTGAAACTCTCTTTTTGTAAAATCTCAAGTTGATATTTTGAGCACTTTAAACCATTTGGTGGAAAAGGAAATATCTTCACAGAAAAACTAGAAGGAAGAATTCTGAGAAACTTCTTTGTGATGTGTGCGTTCATCTCAGAGAAGTGAAGCTTTCTATTGAGTGAGCAGTTTGGAAACACTCTTTTTGTAGAATCTGCAAGGGGACATTCAGAGTGCCTTGTGGCCTATGTTAAAAAAGGAAATATCTTCACATAAAATCTAGACAAACAATCTGAAAAACTTCTTTGTGATGTGTGCATTCCTCTCCCAGAGTTGAAACTTTCTTTTGATGGACCAGTTTTGAAATACTTTTTTTGTAGGATCTGCAAGTGGAAATGTCAAGCCCCTTGATGCCTATGGTGGAAAATGAAATATCTTCACATAAAAACTAGACAGAATAATTCTGTGAAACATCTTTGTGATGTGTGCATTTATCTCAGAGAGTTGAACATTTCTTTTGATTGAGCAGTTTGGAAATATTCTTTTTGTAGAATCTGAAAGTGAACATTTGGAGTGCTTTGGAGCCTACAGAAGATAAGGAAATATCTTCACATGAAATCTAGACAGAAGCAATCTGAGAAACTTCTTTGTGATGTGTGCGTTCATCTCACAGTCAATTAAAACTTTCTTTTAATTGACGAGTTTTGAAACTCTCTTTTTTTTTGAATCTGCAAGTGGACATTTGGAGCGATTTGAGGCCTATCATGGAAAAGGTAATATCTTCACATAAAAACTAGACAGAAGAATTCGGAGAAACTTCTTTGTGATGTGTGCATTCATCTAACAGAATTGAACCTTTCTTTTGATACAGCAGTTTTGAAACTCTCTTTTTGTAGAATCTGCAAGTTGTCATTTTGTACGGTTTGAGGCCTATGGTGGAAAAGGAAATATCTTTACATAAAAACCATACGGAAAAATTCTGAGAAACTCCTTTGTGATGCATGCGTTCATCTCACAGAAATGAACATTTCTTTTTATTGAGCAGGTGGGAAACACTCTTTTTGTGCAATCTACAAGTGGACATCTGGAGCACTTTGCATCCTATGTTAGAAAAGGATCTATCTTCACATAAAAAATAGACAGAAGCAATCTGAGAAACTTATTTGTGATGTGTGCATTCATCTCACAGAGTTAAACCTTTCTTTTCATTGAGCAGTTTTGAAACTCTCTTTATGCAGTATCTGCAAGCAGACATTTGGAGCGCTTTGAGGCCTATGTTGGTAAAGGAAATATCTTCACAGAAAAACTAGACAGAAAAATTCTGAGAAACTTCTTTGTGATGTCTGCATTCATCTTCCAGAATTGAACCTTTCTTTTAATGGACCAGTTTTGAAATATTCTTTCTGTAGGATCTGCAAGTGGACATTTCTAGCATCTTGTGGCCTATGGTGTAAAATGAAATATCTTCACATAAAAACTAGACATAAAAATTCTGACCAACTTATTTGTGATGTGTTCGTTCATCTCACAGAGTTGAAACTTTCTTTTGATTGAGCAGTTTGGAAACACTCTTTTTGTAGAATCCGCATGTGGACATTTGGAGCGCTTTGAGGCCTAAGGTAGAAAAGGAAATATATTCACTTAAAATCTACACAGAAGCAATCTGAGAAACTTCTTTATGAGGTGTGCATTCATCTCACAGAGTTTTCCTTTGTTTTCATAGAGCATTTTTGAAATTCTCTTTTTGTAGAATCCACAACTGGACATTTGGAGCATTTTGAGGCCTATGGTGGAAAAGGAAATATCGTCCCATAAAAACTAGACAGAAGAATTCTGAGAAATTTCTTTGTGATGTGTTCGTTCATCTCACAGATTTGGACCTTTCTTTCAATTGAGCAGTTTTGATACTCTCTTTTTGTAGAATCTGCAAGTGGACATTTGGAGCGCTTTGAGGCCTACGATGGAAAAGGAAATACCTTCACATAAAAAACAGATAGAAGCATTCTGAGAAACTTCTTTGTGATGTGTGCATTCATCTCCCATAGATGAATCTTTCTTTTGATGAACTGGTTTTGAAATACTTTTTTTGTAGAATCTGCAAGGGAACATTTCGAGTGCTCTGTGACCTTTTTTGGAAAATGAAATATTTTCACATAAAAACTAGAGAGAAGAATTCTGTGCAACTTCTTTGTGATGTGTGCGTTCATCTCACAGTTTGGAACCTTTCTTTTCTTTTAGCAGTTTGGAAACACTCTTTTTGTATAGTCTGCAAGTGGACATTTGCAGTGCTTAGTGGTCTAAGGCAGAAAAGGAAATATCTTCACATAAAGTCTACACAGAAGCATTCTGAGAAAACTTCTTGTGATGTGTGCATTCATCTCACAGAGTTAAACCTTTCTTTTAACTGTGCAGTTTTGAAACTGTCTTTTTGCAGCATCTGCAAGTGGACATTTGGAGCACTTTGAGGCCTATTGTGCAAAAGGAAATATCTTCTCATAAAAACTAGACAGAAGAATTGTGAGAAACTTCTTTGTGATGTGTGCATTTATCTCACAGGGTTGGAACTTTCTTTTGATGGATCAGTTTTGAAATACTCTTTTTTGTAGAATCTGCAAAGGGAGATTTCGGGTGCCATGGGGCCTTGGTGGAAAATGATACACTTTCACATAAAAACTAGACAAAAGAATTCTGAGCAACTTCTTTGTGATGTGTGCATTCATCTCACAGAGTTGAAGATTTCTTTTGTTTGGGGAGTTTGGAAACACTCTTTTTGTAGAATCTGCAAGTGGACATTTGGAGCGCTTTGTGGCCCAACGTAGAAAAGGAAATATCTTCACATAAAATCTGGAGAGAAGCAATCTCAGAAACTTCTTTGTGATTCCTGCATTCATCTCAAAGACTTAAACCTTTCTTTTGATTCAGCAGTTTGGAAACTCTCTTTTTGTAGAATCTGCAAGTGGACATTTGCAGCATGTTGCAGCATGTTTCAGCCTGTGGTAGAAAAGTTAATATCTTCACATAAAATCTAGACTGAACTAATCTGAGAAACCTCTTTGTGATGTATGCATTGATCTCACAGGGTTAAACCCTTCCTTTGATTGAGCAGTTTTGAAACTCTCTTTTTGTAGAATCTGCAAGTGGACTTTTTGAGTGCTTTGAGGTCTATGATGGAAAAGGAAATGTCTTCACATAAAAACTAGATGGAAGCATTCTGAGAAACTTCTTTGTGATGCGTGCGTTCATCTGCTAGAGATGAGGCTTTCTATTGATGGACCAGTTTTGAAATAGTCTTTTTGTAGAATATGCAAGTGGACATTCGAGCGCCTTGAGGCCTAAGTAGGAAAATGAAATATCTTCACATAAAAACTAGATAGAGAATTCTGAGAAACTTCTTTGTGATGTATGCACTCATCTCACAGAGTTGAACCTTTCTTTTGATTGAGCAGTTTGGAAACACTCTTTTTGTAGAATCTGCAATTGGACATTTGGAGCGCTTGGTGGACTATGGGGCAAAATGAAATATCTAAACATAAAATGTAGACAGAAACAATCTGAGAAACTTCTTTGTAATCTGTGGATTCATCTCACAGAGGTAAACCTTTCTTTTTATTGAGCAGTTTTGAAACTCTCTTTTTGCAGAATCTGCAAGTGGACATTTGGAGGGCTTTGAGGCTTATGGTGGAAAAGGAAATATCTTCACATAAAAACTAGACAGAAGAATTTTAAGAAACTTCTTTGTGATGTGTGTGTTCATATCACGGAGTTGAACATTTGTTTTGATAGAGGAGTTTGGAAACACCCTTTTTGTAGAACCTGGAAGTGGACATTTTATAGCGCTTTGCAGCCTATGGTAGAAAAGGAAATATATTCACATAAAATCTAGACAGCAGCAATCGGAGAAACTTCTTTGTGATGTGTGCATTCATCTCGCAGAGTTAAAACTTTCTCTTGATTGAACAGTTTTGAAAATCTCTTTTTGTAGAATCTGCAAGTGGACATTTGGAGCCCTTTTAGGCTTACGGTGGAAAAGGAAATATATTCCCAAAAAAACTAGACAGAAGAATTCTGAGAAACTTCTATGTGATGTGTGCATTCATCTCATGGAGATGAACCTTTCTTTCACTTGAGCAGTTTGGAAACTCTCTTTTTTTAGAATCTGCAAGTGAACATTTGGCGTGCTTTGCAGCCTGTGGGTGAAAAGGAAATATCTTCACATAAAATGTAGACAGAAGTAATCTGGGAAACTTCTTTGAGATGTGTGCATTCATCTCACAGAGTTAAACCTTTCTTTTAATTGAGGAGTTTTGAAACTCTCTTTTTATAAAATATGCAAGTGGACATTTGGAGCACTTTGAGGCCAATGGTGGAAAAGGAAATATCTTCACATAAAAACTAGACAGAATAATTCTGAGAAACTCCTCTGTGATGCGTGCGTTCTCTCACAGAATTGAGCCTTTCTTTTGATTGAGCCGTTTGGAAACACTCTTTTTGGAGAATCTGCTACTGGACATTTGGAGCGCTTTGCAGCCTATGGTAGAAAAGGAAATAATATCTTCACATAAAATCAAGACAGAAGCAATCTGAGAAACTTCTTTTTGATGTGTGCATTCATTTCACAGTGTTAAACATTTCTTTTGATTGAGCAGTTTTGAAACTCTCTTTTTGTAGAATCTGCAATTGGACACCTGGAGTGCTTTGAGGCCTATGGTGGAAAAAGGAAATATCTTCACATAAAAACCAGATAGAAACATTGGGAGAAACTTCTTTTTGATGTGTGCATTCATCTCGCAGAGTTGAACGTTTCTTTTGATGGACTAGTTTTTAAATACTCTTTTTGTAGAATCTGCAAGTGGACATTTTGAGAGCCTTGAGGCCTAAGGTGTAAAATGAAATATCTTCACATAAAAAACAGACAGAAGAATTCTGAGAAACTTCCCTGTGATGTGTGCATTCATCTCACAGAGTTGAACCTTTCTTTGAATTGAGCAGTTTGGAAACACTCTTTTTGTAGAATCTGCAAGTGGACATTTGGATTGCTTTGTGGCCAACATTTGAAAATGAAATATCTTCACATTGAAACTAGACCGAAGAATTCTGAGAAACTTCTTTGTGATGTGTGCGTTCATCTCACAGAGTTGAACATTTCTTTGACTGAACAGTTTGGAAACACTCTTTTTGTAGAACCTGCAAGTGGACATTTGGAGCACTTAGCGGCCTATGGTAGAAAAGGAAATATCTTCACATAAAATCTAGACAGAAGCAATCTCAGAAACTTCTTTGTCATGTGTGCATTCATCTCATAGAGTTAAACCTTTCTTTTGATTGAGCAGTTTTGACACTCTCTGTTTGTAGGATCTGCAAGTGGACATTTGGAGTGCTTTGAGGCCTAGGGTGGAAAAGGAAATATCTTCACATAAAAACTAGATAGAAGCATTCTGAAAAACTGCTTTGTGATGCGTGTGTTCATCTCACAGAGTTGAATCTTTCTTTTCATTTGGCAGTTTGGAAACACTCTTTTTATAGAATCTGCAAGTGGACATTTGGACTGGTTTGCGGCCTACGGTAGAAAAGGAAATATCTTCACATAAAATCTAGACAGAAGCAATCTCAGAAACTTCTTTGTCATGTGTGCATTCATCTCACAGAGTTAAACCTTTCTTTTGATTGAACAGTTTTGACACTCTCTGTTTGTAGAATCTGCAAGTGGACATTTGGAGTGCTTTGAGGCCTAGGGTGGAAAAGGAAATATCTTCACATAAAAACTAGATAGAAGCATTCTGAAAAACTGCTTTGTGATGCGTGTGTTCATCTCACAGAGTTGAATCTTTCTTTTCATTTGGCAGTTTGGAAACACTCTTTTTATAGAATCTGCAAGTGGACATTTGGAGTGGTTTGCGGTCTACGGTAGAAAAGGAAATATCTTCACATAAAATCTAGACAGAAACAATCTGAGAAACTTCTTTGTGATGTGTGCATTCATCTCACAGAGTTAAAACTTTCCTTTATTGAGCAGTTTGGAAACTCTCCTTTGCAGAATCTGCAAGTGGACATTTGGATCACTTTGAGGACTATCTTGGAAAAGGAAATATCCTCACATAAAAACCAGACAGAAGAATTCTGAGAAACTTCTTTGTGATGTGTGTATTCATCTCACAGAGTTGAACCTTTCTTTTGATTGAGCAGTTTGGAAACACTCTTTTTGTGTAATCTGAAAGTGGACATTTGGATTGCTTTGTGGCCAACATTTGAGAAGGAAATATCTTCACATAAAAACTAGACCAAAGAATTCTGAGAAACTTCTTTGTGATGTGTGCATTCATCTCACAGAGTTGAACATTTCTTTTGATTGAACAGTTTGGAAACACTCTTTTTGTAGAATCTGCAAGTGGACATTTGGAGCACTTTGTGGCCTATGGTAGAAAGGGAAATATTTTCACATAAAATCTAGACAGAAGCAATCTCAGAAACTTCTTTGTCATGTGTGCATTCATCTCACAGAGTTAAACCTTTCTTTTGATTGAGGAGTTTTGAAACTCTCTGTTTGTAGAATCTGAAAGTGGACATTTGGAGTGCTTTGAGGACTATGGTGGAAAAGGAAATATCTTCACATAAAAAATAGATAGAAGCATTCTGAAAAACTGCTTTGTGATGTGTGAATTCATCTCCCAGAGTTGAACCCTTCTTTTGATGGACCAGTTTTGAAATTCTCTTTTTGTAGAATCTGCAAATGGGCATTTCAAGGGCCTTCAGGCCTGTGGTGGAAAATGAAATACCTTCACATAAAAACTAGAAGAAGAATTCTGAGAAACTTCTTTGTGATGCATGCGTTCATCTGGCAGAGTTGAATCTTTCTTTTGATTCAGCAGTTTGGAGACACTCTTTTTGTAGAATCTGCAAGCAGACATTTGGAGCACTTTGCGGCCTATGGTAGAAAAGGAAATATCTTCACATGAAATCTAGACAGAAGCAATCTGAGAAACTTCTTTGTGAGATGCACATTCATTTTACAGCGTTAAAGACTTCTTTTGATTGAGCAGTTTTGAAACTCCTTTTGTACAATCTGCCAGTGGACATTTGGAGCGCTTTGTGGCCTATGTTGGAAAAGGGAATATCTTCACATAAAAATTAGACAGAAGAATTCTGAGAAACTTCTTTGTAATGCATGAGTTCATCTCACAGAGTTGAACTTTCTTTTGATTCAGCAGTATGGAAACACTGTTTTTGTAGAATCTGCAAGTGAACATTTGGAGCGATTTGCGGCCTATGGTAGAAAAGGAAATATCTTCACATAAAATCTAGACAGAAGCAATCTCAGAAACTTCTTTGTGATGTGTGCATTCATCTCACAGAGTCAAAACTTTCTTTTGGTAGAGCAGTTTTGAAACTCTTTTTTTGTAGGATATGCAAGTGGACATTTTGAGAGCCTCGAGGCCTATAGTGGAAAATGAAATATCTACATAAGAATTAGACAAAAGATTTCTGAGAATTTTCTTTGTGATTCGTGCATTCATCTCACAGAGTTGAATCTTTCTTGTCATTCAGCAGTTTGCAAACACTCTTTTTGTAGAATCTGCAAGTGCATATTTGGAGCCGTTTGCGGCCTATGCTGGAAAAGGAAATATCTTCACATAAAATCTAGACAGAAGCAATCTGAGAAACTTCTTTGAGATGTGTATATTCATCTCACAGAGTTAAACCTTTCCTTTGATTGATCAGTTTGGAAACTCTCCTTTGCAGAATGTGCAAGTGGACATTTGGATCGCTTTGAGGCCTATGTTGGAAAAGGAAATATCCTCACATAAAAACTAGACAGAACAATTCTGAGAAACTTCTTTGTAATGTGTGCATTCACCTCACAGAGTTGAACCTTTCTTTTGATTGAGCCGCTTGTAAACACTCTTTTTGTAGAATCTGCAGGTGGACATTTGGAGTGCTTTGTTGTGTATGGTGGAAAAAGAAATATCTTCAAGTAAAAACCAGACAGAAGCAATCTGAGAAACTTCTTTGTGATGTGTGCATTCATCTAATGGAATTGAACTTTTCTTTTGATTGGGAAGTCTTGAAACACTCTTTTTGTAGAATCTGCAAGTGGATATTTGGAGTGCTTTGAGGCCTGTGGTGGAAAAGGAAATATATTCACATAAAAACTGGACAGAACCATTCTCAGAAACTCCTTTGTAATGTGTGCATTCAACTCTCAGAGTTCAACTTTTCTTTTGATTGAGCACTTTGGAAGCATTCTTTTTGTAGTAACTGCAAATGAATGTTTGCAGCACTTTGAGGCCTGTAGCTGAAAAGGAAACATGTTCAAAAAATAACTAGACAGAAGCATTCTGAGAAACTTCTTTGTGATGTGTGCATTCACCTCACAAAGTTGAACCATTCTTTTGATTGAGAAGTTTTGAAACACTTTTTGTAGAATCTGTAAGTGGAAATTTGAAGTGCTTTGAGGCCTATGGAGGAAAAGGAAATATCTTCACATAAAAACTAGACAGAAGCATTCGCAGAAACTTATTTGTGATGAGTACATTCAACTCACAGAGTTGAAACTTTCTTTTTATTGAGCAGTTTTGAAAAACTCTTTTCATAGAATCTACAAGTGGATAATTGCAGTGCTTTGAGGCCTATGGTGGAAAAGGAAAAATCTTCACGTAGAAAGTAGATAGAAGCATTCTCAGGAACTTCTTTGCGACGTGTGCATTCAACTCTCAGAGTTGAACTTTTCTTTTGATTGAGAAGTTTGGAAACAATCTTTTTGTAGTAACTGCAAATTGATTTTTGGAGTGCTTTGAGGCCAATAACTGAAAAGGAAATATCATCACATAAAAACTAGTCAGAAGCATTCTGAGAAGTTTCTTTGTTATGTGTGCATTAATCTCATAGAGTTGAACATTTCTTTTGATTGAGAAGTTTGGAAACACTTTTTTGTAGAATCTGCAAGTTGTATTTGGAGCACCTTGAAGCCTAAGGTGGAAAAGGAAATAACTTCACATAAAAACTAGACAGAAGCATTCTCAGAAACTTCTTTGTGATGTTTGCATTCAACTCACAGAGTTCAAACTGTTTGATTGAGCAGTTTTGAATCTCTCTCTTGAAGAAACTGCAAGTGTATATTTGGAGCCCTTTCTGGCTTATGGTGGAAAAGGAAATATCTTCAAATAAAAACTACACAGAAACATTCTGAGAAACTTCTTTGTGATGTGTGCATTCATCTGACAGGGTTGAACCTATCTTATGATTGAGCAGTTTTGAAACACTCTTTTTGTAGAATCTGCATTTGGATATTTGGACTGCTTTGAGGCCTTCGTCCGAAACGGGAATATCTTCACATAAAAACTAGACAGAAGCATTCTGAGAAACTACTTTGTGATGTGTTTTCATCTCACAGAGTTGAAACTTTCTTTTGATTCAGCACTTTTGAAACACTCTTTTCGTAGAATCTGCAAGTAAATATTTGGAGCTCTTTGAGGCCTACTGTGGAAAAGCAAATATTTTCAGATAAAAAGTTCACAGAAGCATTCTGAGAAACTTCTTTGTGAGGTGTGTATTCAACACACAGAGTCTAACCTATCTTTTGATTCAGCAGTTTTCAATCTCTCTTTTTGCAGAATCTGCAAGTATGTATTTGTAGAGTTTTGAGGCCTATTGTGGAAATCAAATATCCTCACATGAAAACTATGCCGAAGCATTCTGAGAAACTTCTTTGTGATGTGTGCATTCAACTCAAGAGTTGAAACTATCTATCTTTTGATTGAGCAGTTTTTAATCTCTCTTTTTGTAGAACCTGCAATTGGATATTTAGAGCCCTTTGTGGTGTATGGTGGAAAAGGAAATATCTTCAAGTAAAAACTACACAGAAGCATTCTGAGAAAATTTATGTGATGTGTGCATACACCTCAAAGGGTTGAACCTATATTTTGATTGAGCAGTTTTGAATCACTCTTTTTGTTGAATCTGCAAGTGGATATTTGGAGTCTTTTGCTCCCTATGGTGGAAAAGGAAATATCTTCAAATAAAACTACACAGAAGTATTCTGAGAAACTTCTTTGTGATGTGGGCATTCAACTCACAGAGTTGAACTTATTTTTTGATTGAGCAGTTTTGAATCTCTCTTTTTTTAGAATCTGCAAGTGGATATTTGGAGCCCTTTGTTGCCCATGGTGGGAAAGGAAATATCTTCAAACAGAAACTACACAGAAGCATTATGAGAAACATCTTTGTGATGTGTGCATTCATCTCACAGAATTGATCCTTTCTTTTGATTGAGCAGTTTTGAAACAGTTTTTGTAGAATCTGCAAGTGGATATTTGGAGCGCTTTGAGGTCTACAGTGGAAAAGCAAATATCTTCATATAAAAAATTCACAGAATGATTCTGAGAATCTTCTTTGTGATGTGTGCATTCATCTCACACTGTTGAACCTTTCTTTTGATAGAGCAGTTTTGAAACACTCTTTGTGTAGACTCTGCAAGTAGATATTTGAAGCGATTTGAGGCCTATTGTGGAAAAGGAAATATCTTCACATAAAAACTACACAGAAGCATTCTGAGAAACTTTTGTGATGTGTGCATTCAACTCACAGAGTTGAGTCTATCTTTTGATTGAGCCGTTTTGAATCTCTCTTTTTGTAGAATCTGCAAGTGGATATTCAGAGCCCTTTGCTCCCTATGGTGGAAAAGGAAATATCTTCAATTAAAAACTAGAAACATACAGAGAAACTTCTTTGTGATAAGTTCATTCATCACACACAGTTGAAGCTTTCTTTTGATTAAGCAGTAATGAAACACTCTTTTTGTAAAATCTGGAAGTGGATATTTTGAGGGATTTGAGGCCTATTTTGGAAAAGTAAATATCTTCATATAAAAACCACACAGAAGCATTCTTAGAAACTTCTTTGTGATGTGTGCATTCAACTCACAGAGCTGAACCTATCTTTTGATAGAGCAGTTTTGAAACTCTCTTTCTGTAGAATCTGCAAGTGGATATTTCGAGTGCTTTGAGGCCTACTGTGGAAAAGAAAATATCATCACATAAAAACTACACAGAAGCATTCTGAGAAACTTCTTTGTGATGTGTGCATTCAACTCACAGAGTCGAACCTGTCTTTTGATGGAGCAGTTTTGAATATCTCTTTTTGCAGTATCTGCAAGTGGATATTTTGAGAGCTTTGAGACTTATTTGGGACAAGGAAATATCTTCATGTGAAAACTACACAGAAGAATGCTGAGAAACTTCTTTGTGATGTGTGCATTCAACTCACAGAGTTGAACCTATCTCTTGATTGAGCAGTTTTGAATCTCTCTTTTTGTAGAATCTGCAAGTGGAAATTTGGAGCCCTTTGCGCCCTATAGTGTAAAAGGAAATATATTCAAATGAAAACTACACAGAAGCATTCAGAGAAACTTCTTTGTGATGAGTGCATTCATCACACAGAGCTGAAACTTTCTTTGTTTAAGCAGTTTTGAAACACTCTTTTTGTAGAATCTGGAAGTGGATATCTGAAGGGCTTTAAGGCCTATTTTGGGTGAGGAAATATCTTCACATAAGTACTATACAGAAGCATTCTGAGAAACCTTTTGTGATGTGTGCATTCAACTCACAGAGTTGAACTATCTTTTGATTGGGCAGTTTTGTATCTCTCTTCCTGTAGAATCTGCAATTGGATATTTGGAGTCCTTTACGCCCTATGGTGTAAAATGAAATATCTTCAAATAAAAACTACACGGAAGCACTAAGAGAAACTTCTTTGTGATGAGTGCATTCATCACACAGATTTGAACGTTTCTTTTGTTTGAGCATTTTTGAATCTCTCTTTTTGCAGAATCTGCAAGTGGATATTTAGAGCGCTTTGAGGCCTACTCTGGAAAAGCAAATATCTTCACATAGAAACTACACAGAATCATTAAGAGAAACATCTTTGTGATGTGTGCATTCATCTCACTGGGTTGAACCTTTCTTTCGATGAAGCAGTTTAGAAACACTCTTTTTGTAGAATATGCAAGTGGATATTTGAAGCGATTTGAGGCCTACTGTGGAAAAGGAAATATCTTAACATAAAAACTACACAGAAGCATTCTTAGAAACTTCTTTGTGATATGTGCATTCAACTCACAGAATTGAACATATCCTTTGATTGAGCAGTTTTGAATCTCTCTTTTTCTAGAATCTGCAAGTGGATATTTGGAGACCTTTGCGGCCTGTTGTAGAAAAGGAAATGTCTTCAAATAAAAACTACATAGAAGTATTCTGAGAAACTTCTTTGTGAAGTGTGCATTCATCTCACTGAGTTGAACCTTTCTTTTAATGGAGCAGTTTAGAAACATTCTTTTTGTAGAATATGCAAGTGGATATTTTGAGCGATTTGAGGCCTACTGTGGAAAAGGAAATATCTTCACATAAAAACTACACAGAGGCATTCTGAGAAACTTTTTTTGATATGTGCATTCAACTCATAGAGTTGAACCTATCTTTTGATTGAGCAATTTTGAATCTCTTTTTTTATAGGATCTGAAAGTGGGTATTTGGAGCCCTGTTTGCCCTATTGTGGAAAAGGAAATATCTTCAAATAAAAACTACACAAAAGCATTGAGAGAAACTCCTTAGAGATGAGTGGATTCATCACACAGAGTGGAAACTTTCTTTTGATTGAGCAGTTTTGTAACACTCTTTTTGTAGAATCTGGAAGTGGATACTTTGAGAGATTTGAGGCCTATTATGAAAAAGGAAATATCTTCACATAAAAGCTACACAGAAGCATTCTGAGAAACATCTTTGTGATGTGAGCATTCAACTCACGGAGTTGAACTTATCTTTTGATTGAGCAGTTTTGAATCTCTCTTTGTGTAGAATCTGCAAATTGATATTTGGAGCCCTTTGTGGCCTATGGTGGAAAAGGAAATATCTTCAAATAAAACTACACAGAAGCATTCCGAGAAAATTCTTTTTGTTGGGTGCATTCATCTCACAGAGGTGACCCTTTCCTTTCATTGTGCAGTTTTGAAACACTGCTTTGTAAAATCTGGACGTGGATATTTGGAGCGCTTTGAGGCATACTGTGGAAAAGCAAATATCTTCACATAAAAACTTCACAGAAGCATTCTGAGAAACTTCTTTGTGAGGTGAGCATTCCTGTCACAGAGTTGAACCTTTCTTTTGACTGAGCAGTTTTGAAACACTCTTTTTATAGAATCTGTAAATGGATATTTGGAGCCATTTGAGGCCTATTGTGGAAAAGAAATATCTTCACATAAAAACTACACAGAAGCTTTATGAGAAACTTCTCTGTGATATGTGCATTGAACTCACAGAGTTGAACCTATCTTTTGATTGAGCAGTTTTGAATCTCTCTTTTTGTAGAATCTACAAGTGTATATTTGGAGCCCTTTGAGCCCTATGGTGTAAAAGGAAATATCTTCACATAAAAACTACACAGAAGCATTCTGAGAAACTCCTTTGTGAGGTGTGCTTTCAACTCACAGAGTCAAACACCTCTTTTCATTGTGCAGTTTTGAATCTCTCTTTTTGCAGTATCTGCAAGTGGATATTTGGAGAGCTTTGAGGCCTATTGTTGAAAAGGAAGTATCTTCACATAAAAACTACACAGAAGCATTGTGGGAAAGTTCTTTGTGATGTGTGCATTCAACTCACAGCGTTGTAGATATCTTTTGATAGAGCAAGTTGGAATCTCTCTTTCTGTAGAATCTGCAAGTGGATATTTGGAGCCCTTTAAGCCTATGGTGGAAAAGGAAACATCTTCAAATAAAAACTACACAGAAGCATTCTGGGAAACTTCTTTGTGATGTGTGCGTTCATCTCACAGGGTTGAACCTATCTTATGATTGAGCAGTTTTGAAACAGTCTTTTTGTAGGATCTGCAAGTGGATATTTGGAGTGCTTTGAGGCCTCTTTTGGAAAAGGAAATATCTTCACGTAAAAACTACAGAGAAGCATTCTGAGAAACTTCTTTGTGATGTGTGGATTCCTGTCACAGAGTTATTCCTTTCTTTTGATTGAGCAGTTTTGAACACTGTTTCTGTAGAATCTGCAAGTGGATATTTGGAGCGATATTGGGCCTACTGTGGAAAATCAAATATCTTCACATAAAATATTCACAGAAGCATTCTGAGAAACTTCTTTGTGATGTGTGCATTCATCTCACAGAGCAGTTCTGAATCTCTCCTTTGTAAAATCTGCCATTGGATATTTGGAGCGTTTTGGAGCCTAAGGAGGAAAATAAATTTCTTCACATAAAAGCTACACAGCAGCATTCTGAGAAACTTCTTTTTGACGTGCGCATTCATCTCACAGAGTTGAAACTATCTTTTGATTGAGCAGTTTTGCAACACTGTTTTTGTAAAATCTGCAAGAGCATATTAAGAGTGCTTTGAGACCTACAGTGGAAAAGCAAATATCTTCGCATAAAAACTACACAGAAGCATTCTGAGAAACTTATTTGAGATGTTTGTGTTCATCTCATGGACTTGAAGCCTTCTTTTGATTGAGCAGCTTTGAAACCCTCTTTTTGTAGAATCTGCAAGTGGATATTTGGAGGGTTTTGTGGTCCATTCTGCAGAAGGAAATATCTTCACATAAAAACTACACAGAAGCATTCTGAGAAACGTCTTTGTGATGTGTGCATTCATCTCACCGAGTTGAAGTTTTCTTTTGATTGAGCAGTTTAGAAATACTGTTTTTGTAGAATCTGCAAGTGGATATTTGGAACGCTTTGAGGCCTAATGAGGAAAAGCAAATATCCCCAAATAAAAACTACACCGGAGCATTCTGAGAAACCTCTCTGTGATGTGTGCATTCATCTTAAAGAGTTAAACATTTCTTTTGATTGAGCAGTTTTGAAAAGCTCTTTTTGCAGAATATGCAAGTGGATATTTGGAGACATTTGATGCCTATTGTGGAAAAGGAAATATTTTCACGTAAAATTACACAGAAGAATTCTGAGAAACTTCTTTGTGGTGTGTGCATTCATCTCACAGAGTTGAAACTTTGTTTTTATTGAGCAGTTTTGATACACTGTTTTTGTAGACTCTGCAAGTGGATATTTGGAGCGCTTTGAGGCCTACTCTTGAAAAGCAAATATCTTCACATAAAAACTGCACAGAAGGATTCTGAGAAACTGCTTTCTGATGTGTGCATTCCACTCACAGAGTTGAACCTATTTTTTGATGGAGCAGTTTTGAATCTCTTTTTCTAGAATCTGCAGGTGGATATATGGAGCACTTTTCTGCCTATGGTGGAAAGGAAATATCTTAAAATAAAAGCTACATAGAAGCATTGTGAGAAACTTCTTTTTGATGTGTACATTCCTCTCACAGAGTTGAAACTTTTTTTTCATTCAACAATTTTGAAACACTGTTTTAGTAGGATCTGCAAGTGGATATTTGTGGCGCTTTGAGGCCTACTGTGGAAAAGCAAATATCTTCACATAAAAACTATACAGAAGCATTCTGAGAAACTTCTTTGTGATGTGTGCATTCATTTCACAGAATTAAACCTTTCCTTTGATTGAGCAGTTTTGAAACACTCTTTTTGTAGAATCTGCAAGTTGTTATTTGGAGCACTTAGTGGCCTAATGTGGAAAAGGAAATATCTTCACACAAAAACTACACAGAAGAATTCTTAGAAACTCCTTTGTGATGTGTGCATTCATCTCACAGAGTTGAAGCTTTATTGTGATTGAGCAGTTTTGAAACACTATTTTTGAAGTATCTGCAAGTGGATAATTGGAGTGGTTAGAATCCTACTGTGGAAAAACACATATCTTCATAGAAAAACTACACCGAAGCATTCTGAGAATCTTCTTTGTGATGTGCGCATTCATCTCACAGAGTTGAACCAATCTTTTCATTGAGCAGTTTTGAAACACTCTTTTTGTAGGTTCTACATGTGGATATTTGGAACACTTTGATGTCTACTGTGGAAAAGGAAATATCTTCACATAAAACTACACAGAAGCATTCTGAGAAACTTCTTGGTGATGTATGCATTTATCTCACAGAGGTGAACCTATTTTTGATTGAGCAGTTTTGAATATCTCCTTTTGTAAAATCTGCCAGTGGATATTCGGAGCCCTTTGTGGCCTATGGTGGAAAAGGAAAGATCTTCACATAAAAACTACACAGAAGCATTCTGAAAAACTTCTTTGTGAAGTGGGCATTCAACTCACAGAGTTGAACCATTCCTTTGATTGAGCTGTTTTGAAACTCTCTTTTTGTAGAATCTGCAAGTGGGTATTTGCAGCCCTTTGCAGCCTATGGTGGAAAGGTCAATATCTTCACTTAAAAACTACACAGAAGCATTCTGAGAAACTTCTTTGTGATGTGTGCTTTCAGCTCGCAGAGTTGAACCTATCTTTTGATAGAACAGTTTTGGTACTCTCTTTTTGTGGAATCTGCAAGTGGATATTTGGGGCACTTTGAGGCCTATGGTGGAAAAGGAATTATCTGCACATAAAAAGTACACAGAAGCATTCTGAGAAACTTCTTTGTGATGTGTGCATTCATCTCATAGTGTTGAATATTTCTTTTGATTGAGCAGTTTGGAAACACTTTTAGAAGAATCTGCAAGTGGATATTTGGAGACCATGGAGGCCTATAGTGGAAAAGGAAATATCTTCACATAAAAACCACACAGACGCATTCTCAGAAACTTCTTTCTGATTTGTGCGTTCACCTCACAGTGTTGAATCTTTCTTTTGATTGAACAGTTTTGTAACACTGTTTTTGTAGAATCTTCAAGTGGATATTAGGAGCACTTTGAGGCCTATTGGGGAAAATAAAATATCTTCATCTAAAAGACACACAGAAGCATTCTTAGAAACTACCTTGTGATGTGTACATTCATCTCACAGAGTTCAAACTTTCCTTGGATTGAGCAGTTTTGAAACTCTCTTTTTGTAAATCTGCAAATGGATATTTGGAGCACTTTGAGGCCTATTGTGGAAAGGGAAATATCTTCACATAAAAACTACACAGAAGCATTCTGAGAAATTTCTTTGTGATGTGTGCACTCAACTCACAGAGTTGAACGTATCTGTTGATGGAGAAGTTTTGCAACTCTCTTTTTGTAAAATCTGAAAGTGGGTATTTGGGACCGTTTGTGGAATATGGTGGAAAAGGAAATACCTTCATTTAAAAACTACACAGAATCATTCTGTGAAACTTCCTTGTGATGTGTGCATTCATCTCACAGAGTTGAACTTTTCTTTTGATTGAACAGTTTTGAAACCTTCCTTTCTAGTATCCCCAAGTAGATATTTGGAGCCCTTTGAGGCCTATGGTGGAAAAGGAAACATCTTAAAATAAAAACTACACAGAAGCATTATGAGAAACTTATTTGTGATGTGTACATTCATCTAACAGAGTTGAATCTTTCTTTGTATTGAGCAGTTTTGAAACTCTGTTTTTGTAGAATCTTCAAGTGGATATTTAGAGTGCTTTGAGGCCTATTTTGGAAAAGGTAATATCTTCACTTAAAAACTACACAGAACCATTCTGAGAAACTTCTTAGTGATGTGTGTATTCAACTCACAGAGTTGAACCTTTCTTTTGATTGAGCAGTTTGGAAACAATCTTTTTGTAGGGTCTGCAAGTGAATATTTGGAACGCTTTGAGGCCTATGGTGGAAAAGGAAATATCATCTTACAAAAATTATACAGAAGCATTCTGAGAAACTTCTTTGTGATGTGTGCATTCCTCTCACAGAGTTGAACCTATCTTCTGACTGAGCAGTTTTGAAACACTCTTTTTGTAGAATCTGCAAGTCAATATTTAGAGCTCTTTGCGGCCTGTGGTGGAGGAGGAAATGTCTTCACTTAAAAACTACACAGAAGCATTCTGAGAAACTTCTTTGTGATGAGTGAATTCATCCCACAGTGTTGAACATTTCATTTAATTGGGCAGTTTTGAAACACTTGTTTTGTGGAATCTGCAAGTGGATATGTGGAGCGCTTTGAGGCCTATGGTGGAAAAGGAAATATCTTCACATGAAAACTACACAGAAACATTCTGAGAAACGAATTTCTGATGTGTGCATTCATCTCACAGAGTTGAACATATCTTTTAATAGAGCAGTTTTGAAACTATGTTTTTGTAGAATCTGCAAGTGGATATTTGGAGCCCTTAGAGGCCTCTGTTGGAAAAGAAGATATCTTCACATAAAAAAAAAAAAACACAGAAGTATTCTGAGAAACTTCTTTGTTATGTGTGCATTCATATCACAGAGTTCAACTTCTCTTTTGTTTGAGCAGCTTGGAAAAACTCTTATTGTAGTATCTTAAGTAGACATTTGGAGTGCTTTGAGGCCTGTTGTGGAAAAGGAAATATCTTCAAATAAAAACTACACAGAAGCATTCTCCGAAACTTCTTTGTGATGTGTGCATTCATCTCACAGAGTTGAACGTTTCCTTTGATCGAGCAGGTTTGAAACAGTCTTTTTGTAGGATCTGCAAGTGGATATTTGGAGCGCTTTGAGGCCTATGGTGTAAAAGGTAATATCTTCAAATAAAAACTACAAAGAAGCATTCTGATAAACTTCTTGTGATGTGTGCATTCATCTCACAGTGTTGAACATATCTTTTGATAGAGCAGTTTTGAAACTCTCTTTTTGTAGAATCTGCAAGTGGATATTAGGAGCCCTCAGTGGCCTATGGTGGAAAAGGAAATATCTTCACATAAAAAATACACAAAACTATTCTGAGAAACTTCTTTGTGATGTGTGCATTCATGTCGCAGATTGAAACTGTTCTGATTGAGAAGATGGGAAACACTCTTTTGGTAGAATCTGCAAATGGATATTTGGAGCGCGTTCAGGCCTATGGTGGAAAAGGAAATATCTTCACATAAAAACTACACAGAAGCATTCTGAGAGACTTCTTTGTGATGTATGCATTCAAGTCACAGAATTTTCTTTTGATTGAGCAGTTTTGAAACACTTTCTGTAGAATCTTCAAATGGATATTTGGATTGATTTGAGGCCTATTTTGGAAAAGGAAATATGTTCACCTAAAAACTACGCAGAAGCATTATAAGAAACTTCTTTGCTTTGTGTGCATTCATCTCACAGAGTCGAACCTTTCTTTTGATAGAGCAGTTTTGAAACTCTCTTTTTGTAGAATCTGCAAGTGGATATTTAGAGCCCTTTGTGGCCTGTGGTGGAGAAGGAAATATCTTCACTTGAAAACTACACAGAAGCATTGTGAGAAACTTCTTTGTGATGTGTGAATTCATCTCATGGAGTTGAACATTTCATTTGATTGAGCAGTTTTGAAACACTCTTTTTGTAGAATCTGCAAGTGGATATTTGCAACGTTTTGAGGCCTATGGTGGAAAAGGAAATATCTTCACATAAAAACTACACAGAAGCATTCTGAGAAACTACGTTCTGATGTGTGCATTCATCTCACAGAGTTGAACATATCTTATGATAGAGCAGTTTTGAAACTCTGTTTTTGCACAGTCTGCAAGTGGATATTTGGAGCCCTTAGTGGCCTATGGTGGAAATGGAGATATCATCCCATAAAAAATACTCAGAAGTATTCTGAGAAACTTCATTGTTAAGTGTGCATTCATGTCACAGGGTTGAACTTCTCTTTTGATTGAGCAATTTGGAAACACTATTTTTGTAGAATCTTAAGTTGACATTTGGAGTGCTTTGAGGTCTGTTGTGGAAAAGGAAATATCTTCACATAAAAACTACACAGAAGCATTCTCTGAAACGCCTTTGTGATGTGTGCATTCATCTCACAGAGTTCAACCTTTCTTTTGATTGAGCCGTTTTGAAACTGTCCTTTGTAGAATCTGCAAGTGGATATTTGGAACGCTTTGAGGCCTAAGGTGGAAAAGGAAATACCTTCACATAAAAACTACACAGAAGCATTATAAGAAACTTCTTTGTGATGTGTGCATTCACCTCACAGAGTTGAACATATCTTTTTATAGAGAAATTCTGAAACTCTCTTTTTGTAGAATCTGCAAGTGGATATTTGGAGCCCTTAGTGGCCTATGGTGGAAAATGAAATATTTTCACATAAAGAATACACAAAAGTATTCTGAGTAACTTCTTTATGATGTCTGCATTCATGTAGCAGAATTGAAACTCTGTTTTGATTGAGCAGTTTGGTAACACCCTTTTGTAGAATCTGCAAATGGATATTTGGTGCACTTTCAGGCTTGTTGTGGAAAAGGAAATATCTTCACATAAAAACTACACAGAAGCATTCCCCGAAACTTCTTCATGATGTGTGCATTCATCTCACGGAGTTGAACCTTTCTTTTAATAGGGCAGTTTTGAAACACTCTTTTTGTAGAATCTGCAAGTGGATATTTGGGGCGCTTTGAGGTCTATGGTTGAAAAGGAATTATCTTCACATAAAAACTACACAGAAGCATTCTGAGAAACTTCTCTGTATTGTGTGAATTCAGCTCGCAGAGTTGAACCTATCCTTTGGTAGAGCAGTTTTGAAACTCTCTTTTTGTAGAATCTGCAAGTGGTTATTTGGAGCCCTTTGTGGCCGATGGTGGAAAAGGAAATACCTTCCCATAAAAACTACACAGAGGAATTCTGGGAAACTTCTTTGTGATGTGTGCATTCATCTCACAGAGTTGAACATTTCATTTGATTGAGTGGTTTTGAAACACATTTTTGGAGAATCTACAAGTAGATATTTGGAGCACTTTGAGGCCTGTTTTGGAAAAGGAATTATCTTCACGTAAATACTACACAGAAGCATTCTCACAAACGTCTTTGTGATGTGTGCATTCATCTCACACAGTTGAACCTATCTTTTGATAGAGCAGTTTTGAAACTCTCTTTTTGTAGAACCTGCAAGTGTATATTTAGAGTCCTTTGTGGTGTATGGTGAAAAATAAAATATCTTCACATAATAACTACACAGAAGCATTCTGAGAAATTTCTTTGCAATGTGTGCATTCGTCTCACAGAAATAATGCTTTCTTTTGATTGACTAGTTTTGAAACACTCTTTTTGTAGAATCTCCAAGTGGATATTTGGAGCACTTTGAGGCCTATGGTGGTAAAGGAAATATCTTCACATAAAAACTACACAGAAGCATTTTGAGGAACATCTTTGCAATGTTTGCATTCATCTCACAGTGTTGAACCTATATTTTGACAGAGCCGTTTTGAAACTCTCTTTTTCTAGAATCTGCAAGTGGATATTTGGAGCCCTTTGTGGCCCATGGTGAAAAAGGAAATATCTACAGATAATAACTACACAGAATTATTCTGAGAAACTTCTCTGAGATGTGTGCATTCAACTATCAGAGTTGAACCTTTCTTTTGATTGAGCAGTTTGGAAACACTCTTTTTGTAGAAACTGCAAATGGATATCTGGAGTGCTTTGAGGCCTATAGCAGAAAAATAAATATATTCATGTAGAAACTAGACAGAACCATTCTGTGAAACTTCTTTGTGATGTGTGCATTCATCTCACAGAGTTGAAACTTTCTTATGATTTAACAGTTTTGAAACACTCCTATTGTAGAATCTGCAAGTGGATATTTGATGCACTTTGAAGCCTAAGGTGGAAAAGGAATCATCTTCACATAGAAACTAGACAGAAGCATTCTCAGAAACTTCTTTGTGTTGTGTGCATTCAACACTCAGAGTTGAACTTTTCTTTTGATTGAGCAGTTTGGAAACACTCTTTTTGTAGTAACTAAAAATCGATATTTGGAGTGCTTTGAGGCCTATTGCTGAAAAGGAAATATCTTCACATAAAAAAAACTAGACAGAATCATTCTGAGAAACTTCCTTTGGATGGGTGCATTCATCTCATGGAGTTGAACCTTTCTTTTGCTTGAGAAGTTTTGAAACACTCATTTTGTAGTATCTGCAAGTGGATATTTGGAAAGCTTTGAGGCCTACGGTGGAAAAGGAAATATCTTTACATAGAAACTAGAGAGAAGCATTCTCAGAAACTACTTTGTGTTGAGTGCATTCAACTCACAAAGTTGAACCTTTCTTTTGATTGAGCAGTTTCGAAAAACACTCTTTTTGTAGAATCTGCAAGTGGATATTCAGAGCACTTTGAGGCCTATGGTGGAAAACGAAATATCTTCCCATATATACTAGACAGAAGCCTTCTGAGAAACTTCTTTGTGATGTGTGCGTTCATCTCACAGAGTTGAACTTTTCTTTTGATTGAGAAGCTTTGTAACACTCTTTTTGTAGCATCCCAAGTGGATATTTGGAGCACTTTGAGGCCTATGGTGGAAAAGGAAATGTCATCACATATAGACTAGACAAAAACATTCTCAGAAACTTCTTTGTGATGTGTGCATTCAACACACAGTGCTGAACTTTCCCTTTGATTGAGCAGTTTGGAAACACTCTTTTTGTAGTAACTACAAATGTATATTTGGAGCACTTTGAGGCCTATTCCGGAAAAGGAAATATCTTCACATAAAAACTAGACAGAAGCATTCTCAGAAACTTCTTTGTGATGTGTGCATTCATCTCACAGTGTTGAACTTTTCTTTTGATTGAGCAGTTTTGAAACACTCTTTTTGTAGAATCTGCAAGTTGATATTTTGAGTGCTTTAAGGCCTATGATGGAAAGGGACATATCTTCACATAGAAACTATGCAAAAACATTCTCAGAAATTTCTTTTTGTTGGGCACATTCAACTTGCAGGGTTGAATATTTCTTTTGATTGAACAGTTTAGAGACACTCTTATAGTAACTGAAAAGGTATATTTGGACCGCTTTGAGGGCTATAGCTGAAAAAGAAATATCTTCACATGAAAACTTGACAGAAGCATTCTGAGAAACTACTTTGGGATGTGTGTGCATTCATCTCACAGAGCTGAACCTTTCTTTTGATTGAGAAGTTTTGAAAGACTCTTTTTGTAGAATCTGCAAGTGGATATTTTGAGCGCAGTGAATCCTATTATGGAAAAGGAAGTATCTTAACATAAAAACTAGACGGAAGCATTCTCAGAAACTTCTTTGTGATCTGTGTATTCAACACTAAAAGTTGAACTTTTCTTTTAATTGAGCAGTTTGGAAACACTCTTTTTGTAGTAACTGCCAATGGATATTAGGAATTCTATGAGGCCTATAGCAAAAAAGCAAATATCTTCACATAAAAAACTAGACAGAAGCATTCTGAGAAACTACCTTCTGATGTGTGCATTCATCTCACAGAGTTGAACCTTTCCTTTTATTGAGAAGTTTTGAAACACTCTTTTTATAGGATCTGCAAGTGGATATTTGGAGTGCTTTGAGGCCTATGCTGGAAAAGGAAATATCTTCACATAAAAACTAGACAGAAGATTTCTCAGAAACTTCTTTGTGATGTATGTATTCAACTCTCAGAGTTGAACTGTTCTTTTGATAGTGCAGTTTGGAAAGACTGTTTTTGTAGAATCTGTAAGTGGATATTTGAAGCGCTTAGAGACCTATGGTGGAACAGGAAATAGCTGCACTTAAAACTAGTCAGAAGCATTCAGAGGAACTTCTTTGTGAAGTGCACATTCATCTCACCGAGCTGAATGTTTTGATTCAGCAGTTTTGAAACACTCTTTGTGTAGTAACTGCAAATGGATATTTGAGGTGCTTTGAGGCCTATAGCTGAAAAGGAAATATCTTCACTTAAAACGACACAGAAGCATTCTGAGAAACTTCTTTGGATGTGCGCTTTCATCTCACAGAGTTGAAACTTTCTTTTGATTGAGCAGTTTTGAAACACTGCTTCTATAGAATCTGCAAGTTGATAGTTGGAGTGTTTTGAGTCCTGTGGTGGAAACGGAAATATCTTTACATAAAAGTTAGACAGAAGCATTCTGAGAAACTTCTTTGTGATGTGTGCATTCAACTCACAGAGTTGAACCTTACTTTTGATTGAGCTGTTTGGAAACACTCTTTTTGTAGTAACTGCAAATGGATATTTGGAGCGTTTTGAGGCCTATAGCTGAAAAGGAAATATCTTCACCTAAAAAAAGACAGAAGCATTCAGAGTAACTTCTTTGTGATGTGTGTATTCACCTCACAGAGGAGAAACTTTCTTTTGATTGAGCAGTTTTGAAACAGTCTTTTGTAGAATCTGCAAGTGGATATTTGGAATGCTTTGAGGCCTATGGTGGAAATGGAAATATCTGAACATAGAAACTAGACAGAAGCATTTCCGGAAACTGCTTTGTGATGTGTGCATTCAACTATAAGAGTTGAACCTTTCTTTTGATTGACCAGTTTGGAAACACTCTTTTTGTAGCAACTGCAAGTGGATATTTGAATGCTTTTAGGCCTGTAGTTGAAAAGGAAATATCTTAACATAAAAACTAGACGGAAGCATTCTCAGAAACTTCTTTGGGATGTGTGCTTTCAACTCACAGAGCTGAACCTTTCTTTTGATTGAGCAGTTTGGAAACACTCTTTTTGTAGTATCTGCAAGTGGATATTTGGAGCGCTTTGAACCCTATGTTAGAAAAGGAAATATCTTCACAAGAAAACTAGACAGAGCATTCTCAGAAACTTCTTTGGGATGTTTGCTTTGAACTCACACAGTTGAACATTTCTTTTGATTGAGCAGCATGCAAACACTCTTTTTGTAGGATGTGCAAATGGGTATTTGGAGTGCTTTGGGGCCTATAGCTGAAAAGGAAATATCTTCACATAAAAACTAGACAGAAGCATTCTCAGAAACTTCTTTGTGATGTGTGCATTCATCTCACAGTGTTGGAACTTTCTTTTGATTAAGTAGTTTTGAAACACTATTTTTGTGGAATCTGTAAGTGGATAGTTGGAGCGCTTTGAGGCCTATGGTGGAAAAGGAAGTATCTTTACATAACAACTAGACAGAAGCATTCTCAGAAACTTCTTTGGGATGTGTGAATTCAACTCATGGAGTTGTATCTTTCTTTTGGTAGAGCAATTTGAAAACACTCTTTGTGTAATGCCTGCAAATGAATATTTGGAGCGCTTTGAGGCCTACAGCTGAAAAGGGTACATCTTCACATAAAAACTAGACAGAAGCATTCTGAGAAACTTCTTTGTGATGTGTGCATTCATCTCACATTGTTAAGCCTTTCTTTTGATTAAGAAGTTTTGAAACACTCTTTTTGTAGAATTTGCAAGTGGATATTTGGAGTGGTTTGAGGCCTATCATGGAAAAGGAAGTATCATCTTCACATAAAAACTAGACAGAAGCATTCTCAGAAACTTTTTTGGGATGTGTGCATTCAACTCACAGAGTTGAACCTTTCTTTTGGCAGGGCAGCATGGAAACACTCTTTTTGTAATATCTCCAAGTGAATATTTGGAGCACCTTGTGGATTATAGCTGAAAAGGAAATACCTTCACATAAAAACTAGAAAGAACCATTCTGAGAAACTTTTTGTGAAGTGTGAATTCATCTCAGAGATTTGAACCTGTCTTTTGACTGAGGAATTTTGAAACACTCTTTTTGTAGAGTCTGCAATTGGATATTTGGAGTGCTTTGAGGCCAGTGGTGGAAAAGGGAAAATCTTCACATAAAAGCTAAACAAAGGCATTAGGAGAAACTTCTTTGTGATGTGTCCATTCATGTCACAGAGTTGAACCTTTCTTTTGATTGAGCAGTTTTCAAACACTCTTTTTGTAGAATCTGCAAGTGGATATTTGTAGTGCTTGTCTCCTCTATTGGAAAAGGAAATAACTTCACATAAAAACTAGACAGATAGTTGGTTGGAGCTAAGATGGCCGAATAGGAACATCTCCAGTCTATAGCTCCCAGTGCAAGGGACCCAGAAGTTGGGTTATTTCTGCATTTCCATCTGAGGTACTGGGTTCCTCTCACTAGGGATTTCCAGACAGTGAGTGCAGGACAGTGGGTGCAGTGCATCGTGCGTGAGCTGAAGCAGGGCGAGGCATTGCCTCATTCAGGAAGCACAGGGGGTCATGGAGTTACCTTTCCTAGTCAAAGAAAGGGGTAGCAGAAAGCACCTGGAAAATCGGGTCACTCCCACTCTAATACTGCACTTTTCTGATGGGCTTAAAATACTTCACACCAGGAGATTATATCCCATACATAGCTCAGAGGGTCCTATGCCCATGGAGTCTCACTGATTGCTAGCACAGCAGTCTGATATCAAACTGCAAGATGGCAGTGAGGCTTGGGGAGGGAAGCCCACCATTTCCCAGGCTTGCTTAGGAAAACAAAGCAGCCTGGAACCTCGAACTGGGTGGAGCCCACCACAGCTCAAGGAGGCCTGCCTGCCTCTGTAGGCTTCACCTCTGGGGACAGGGCACAGACAATCAAAAAGACAGCAGTAACCTCTATAGACTTAAATGTCCCTATCTGACAGCTTTGAAGAGAGCAGTGCTTCTCCCACTATACAGCTGGAGATCTGAGAACGGGCAGGCTGCGTCCTCAAGTTGGTGTCTGACCCCTGATCCCCAAGCAGCCAAACTGGGAAGCACCCCACAGTAGGGGCAGAGTGATACCTCACACGGCCAGGCACTCCTCTGAGACAAAACTTCCAGAGGAACGATCAGACTGCAGCATTCGCGGTTCACAAAAGTACACTGTTCTGCAGCCAAGACTGCTGATACCCAGGCAAACAGGGTCAAGAGTGGACCTGTAGAAAACTCCAACAGACCTGCAGCTGAGGGTCCTGTCTTTTAGAAGGAAAACTAACAAACAGAAAGGACATCAACAACAAAAACACATCTGTACATCACCATCGTCAAAGACCAAAAGTAGATAAAACCACAAAGATGGGGAAAAAACAGAGTAGAAAAACTGGAAACTCTAAAACGCAGAGCACCTCTCCTCCTCCAAAGGAATGCAGCTCCTCACCAGCAATGGAAAAAAGCTGGACAAAAAAATGACTTTGATGAGTTGAGAGAAGAAGGCTTCAGACGATCAAACTACTCTGAGCTACAGGAGGAAATTCAAACCAAAGGCAAAGAAGTTAAAAAATTTGAAAAAAAAAAAATAGACGAATGTAGAGCTAGAATAACCAATAGAGAGAAGTGCTTAAAGGAGCTGATGGAGCTGAAATGCAAGGCTCAAAAGTACGTAAAGAAGGCAGAACCTCAACAGCCAATGCAATCAACTGGAGGAAAGGGTATCAGTGATGGAAGATGAAATGAATGAAATGAAGCAAGAAAGGAAGTTTAGAGAAAAAAGAATAAAAAGAAATGAAGAAAGCCTCCAAGAAATATGGGACTATGTGAAAAGACCAAATCTACGACTGATTGGTGTACCTGAAAGTGACGGGGAGAATGGAACCAAGTTGGAAAACACTCTGCAGGAAATTATCCAGGAGAACTTCCTCAATTTAGCATGGCAAGCCATCATTCAGATTCAGGAAACACAGAGAATGCCACAAAGATACTCCTTGAGAAGAGCAACTCCAAGACACATAATTGTCAGATTCACCAAAGTTGAAATGAAGGAAAAATATTAAGGGCAACCAGAGAGAAAGGTCGGGTTACCCACAAAGGGAAATTCATCAGACTAACAGCAGATCCTCGGCAGAAACTCTACAAGCCGGAAAGGAGTAGGGGCCAATATTCAACCTTCTTAAAGAAAAGAATTTTCTTTCTTTTTTTTTTTTTTTTTTGGTGTCAGAAATCATTTTTAGTGTGAAAGAAGTCTACTTTATTATTTGTGAGTTTCCTTTTTTTTTATTATTGTTATACTTTAAGTTTTAGGGTACATGTGCGCAATGTGCAGGTTAGTTACATATGTATACATGTGACATGCTGGTGCGCTGCACCCATTAACTCGTCATCTAGCATTAGGTATATCTCCCAATGCTATCCCTACCCCCTCCCCCAACCCCAGAACAGTCCCCAGAGTCTGATGTTCCCCTTCCTGTGTCCATGTCTTCTCATTGTTCAATTCCCACAAATGAGGGAGAATATGCGGTGTTTGGTTTTTTGTTCTTGTGATAGTTTATTGAGAATGATGATTTTCAATTTCATCCATGTCCCTACAAAGGACATGAACTCATCATTTTTTATGGCTGCATAGTATTCCATGGTGTATATGTGCCACATTTTCTTAATCCAGTCTATCATTGTTGGACATTCGGGTTGGTTCCAAGTCTTTGCTATTGTGAATAGTGTTGCAAAAAAACATACGTGGGCATTTGTCTTTATAGCAGCATGATTTATAATCCTTTGTGTATATACCCAGTAATGGGATGGCTGGGTCAAACGGTGTTTCCAATACTAGATACCTAAGGACCCACCACACTGACTTCCACAATGGTTGAACTAGTTTACAGTCCCACCAACAGTGTAAAAGTGTTCCTATTTCTCCACATCCTCTCCATCACCTGTTGTTTCCTGTCTTTTTAATGACTGCCATTCTAACTGATGTGAGATGGTATCTCATTGTGGTTTTAATTTGCATTTCTCTGATGGCCAGTGATGATGAGCATTTTTTCATGTGTTTTTTGGCTGCATAAATATCTTCTTTTGAGAAGTGTCTGTTAATATACTTCACCAATTTTTGATGGGGTTGTTAGTTTTTTCCTGTAAATTTGTTTGAGTTCATTGTAGATTCTGGATATTAGCCCTTTGTCAGATGAGTAGGTTGCAAAAATTTTCTCCCATTGTGTAGGTTTCCTGTTCACTCTGATGGTAGTTTCTTTTGCTGTGCTGAAGCTCTTTAGTTTAATTAGATCCCATTTGTCAATTGTAGCTTTTGTTGTCATTGCTTTTGGTGTTTTAGACATGAAGTCCTTGGCCATGCCTATGTCCTGAATGGTAATGCCTAGGATTTCTTCTAGGGTTTTCATGGTTTTAGGTGTAATATTTAAGTCTTTAATCCATCTTGAATTGATTATTGTACAAGGTGTAAGGAAGGGATCCAGTTTCAGCTTTCTACATATGGCTAGCCAGTTTTCCCAGCACCACTTATTAAATAGGGAATCCTTTCCCCATTGCTTGTTTTTCTCAGGTTTGTCAAAGATCAGATAGTTGTAGATATGTGGCGTTATTTCTGAGGACTCTGTTCTGTTCCATTGATCTATATCTCTGTTTTGGTAAAAGTACCATATTGTTTTACTTACTGTAGCCTTGTAGTGTAGTTTGAAGTCAGGTAGCGTGATGCCTCCAGCTTTGTTCTTTTGGCTTAGGATTGACTTGGTGATGTGGGCTCTTTTTTGGTTCCATATGAAATTTAAAGTAGTTTTTTCCAATTCTGTGAAGAAAGTCATTGGTAGCTTGATGGGAATGGCATTGAATCTATAAATTACATTGGGCTGTATGGCCATTTTCATGATATTGATTCTTCCTACCCATGAGCATGGAATGTTCTTCCATTTGTTTGTATCCTCTTTTAATTCATTGAGCAGTGATTTGTAGTTCTCTCCTATTCAACATAGTGTTGGAAGTTCTGGCCAGGGCAATCAGGCAGGAGAAGGAAATAAAGGGTATTCAATTCGGAAAAGAGGAAGTTAAATTGTCCCTGTTTGCAGGTGACATGACTGTATATCTAGAAAACCCCATTGTCTCAGCCCAAAATCTCCTTAAGCTGATAAGCAACTTCAGCAAAGTCTCAGGATACAAAATCAATGTACAAAAATCACAAGCATTCTTATACACCAATAACAGACAAACAGAGAGCCAAATCATGAGTGAACTCCCATTCACAATTGCTTCAAAGAGAATAAAATACCTAGGAATCCAACTTACAAGGGATGTGAAGAAAAGAATTTTCAACCCAGAATATCATATCCAGCCAAACTAAGCTTCGTAAGTGAAGGAGAAATAAAATCCTTTACAGACAAGCAAATGCTGAGAGATTTTGTCAACACCATGCCTGCCCTTAAAGAGCTCCTGAAGGAAGCACTAAACATGGAAAGGAACAACCAGTACCAGCTGCTGCAAAATCATGCCAAATTGTAAAGACCATGAAGGCTAGGAAGAAACTACATCAACTAATGAGCAAAATAACCAGCTAACGTCATAATGACAGGATAAAATTCACAAATAACAATATTACCTTTAAATGTAAATGGACTAAATATCCAATTAAAAGACACAGACTGGCAAATTGGATAAAGAGTCAAGACCCAGCCGTGTGCTGTATTCAGGAAACACATCTCACGTGCAGAGACACACATAGGCTCAAAATAAAAAGATGGAGGAAGATCTACCAGGCAAATGGAAAACAAAAAAAGGCAGGGGTTGCAATCCTAGTCTCTGATAAAACAGACTTTAAACCAACAAAGATCAAAAGAGACAAAGAAGGCCATTACATAATGGTAAAGGGATCAATTCAACAAGAAGAGCTAACTATCCTAATTATATATGCACCCAATACAGGAGCACCCAGATTCATAAAGCAAGTCCTGAGTGACTTACAAAGAGACTTAGACTCCCACACAATAATAATGGGAGACTTTAACACCCCACAGTCAACATTAGACACATCAATGAGAAAGAAAGTTACCAAGGATACCCAGGAATTGAACTCAGCTTCACCAAGTGTACCTAATAGACATCTACAGAAATCTCCACCCCAAATCAACAGAATATACATTTTTTTCAGCAACACACCACACCTAGTCCAAAATTGACCACATAGTTGGAAGTAAAGCTCTCCTCAGCAAATGTAAAAGAACAGAAATTATAACAATCTGACTCTCAGACCACAGTGCAATCAAACTGGAACTCAGGATTAAGAAACTCACTCAAAACCACTCAACTACATGGAAACTGAACAACCTGCTCCTGAATGACTACGGGGCACATAACAAAATGAAGGCAGAAATAAAGATGTTCTTTGAAACCAACGAGAACAAAACACAACATACCAGAATCTCTGGGACGCATTCAAAGCAGTGTGTAGAGGGAAATTTATAGCACTAAATGCCCACAAGAGAAAGCAGGAAAGATCCAAAATTGACACCCTGACATCAAAATTAAAAGAACAAGAAAAGCAAGAACAAACACATTCAAAAGCTAGCAGAAGGCAAGAAATAACTAAGATCAGAGCAGAACTGAAGGAAATAGAGACACATAAAACCCTCCAAAAAATTAATGAATCCAGAAGCTGGTTTTTTGAAAGGATCAACAAAACTGAGAGACCACTAGCAAGACAAATAAAGAAGAAAAGGGAGAAGAATCAAATAGATGCAATAAAAAATGATAAAGGGGATATCACCACTGATCCCACAGAAATACAAACTACCATCAGAGAATACTACAACCACCTCTACGCAAATATAAACTAGAAAACCTAGAAGAAATGGATAAATTCCTCGACACATACACCCTCCAAAGACTAAACCAGGAAGAAGTTGAATCTCTGAATAGACCAACAAAAGGCTCTGAAATTGTGGCAATAATCAATAGCTTACCAAACAAAAAGAGTCCAGGACCAGATGGATTCACAGCCGAATTCTACCAGAGGTACAAGGAGTAAGTGGTACCATTCCTTCTGAAATGATTCCAATCAATAGAAAAAGAGGGAATCCTCCCTAACTCATTTTATGAGGCCAGCATCATCCTGATACCCAAGCCAGGCAGAGAAACAACCAAAAAAGAGAATTTTAGACCAATATCCTTGATGAAAATTGATACAAAAATCCTCAATAAAATACTGGCAAACCGAATCCAGCAGCACATCAAAAAGCTTATCCACCATGATCAAGTGGGCTTCATCCCCGGGATGCAAGGCTGGTTCAACATACACAAATCAGTAAAAGTAATCCAGTATTTAAACAGAACCAAAGAGAAAAACCACATGATTAGCTCAATAGATGCAATAAAGGCCTTTGACAAAATTCAACCACCCTTCATGCTAAAAACTCTCAATAAATAAGGTACTGATGGGATGTATCTCAAAATAATAAGAGCTATCTATGACAAACCCACAGCCAATATCATACTGAATGGGCAAAAACTGGAAGCATTCCCTTTGAAAACTGGCACAAGACAAGGAAGCCCTCTCTCACCATTCCTATTCAACATAGTGTTGGAAGTTCTGGCCAGGGCAATCAGGCAGGAGAAGGAAATAAAGGGTATTCAATTAGGAGAAGAGGAAGTCAAATTGTCCCTGTTTGCAGATGACATGATTGTATATCTAGAAAACCCCATTGTCTCAGCCCAAAATCTCCTTAAGCTGATAAGCAACTTCAGCAAAGTCTCAGGATACAAAATCAATGTACAAAAATCACAAGCATTCTTATACACCAACAACAGACAAACAGAAAACCAAATCATGAGTGAACTCCCCTTCACAATTGCGACAAAGGGAATAAAACACCTGGGAATGCAATTAACAAGGGACGTGAAGGACCTCTTCAAGGAGAACTACAAACCACTGCTCAATGAAATAAAAGCGGATATAAACAAATGGAAGAACATTCCATGCTCATGGGTAGGAAGAATCAATATCGTGAAAATGGCCAAGGTAATTTATGGATTCAGTGCCAACCCCATCCAGCTACCAATGACTTTCTTCACAGAATTGGAAAAAACTACTTTAAAGTTCATATGGAACCAAAAAGAGCCCACATCACCAAGTCAATCCTAAGCCAAAAGAACAAAGCTGGAGGCATCACACTACCTGACTTCAAACTATATTACAAAGCTACAGTAAGCAAAGCAGCATGGTACTGGTACCAAAACAGAGATATAGATCAATGGAAAAGAACAGAGCCCTCAGAAATGATGCTGCATATCTACAACTATCTGATCTTCGACAAACCTGAGAAAAACAAGCAATGGGGAATGGATTCCCTATTTAATAAATGGTGCTGGGAAAACTGGCTAGCCATATGTAGAAAGCTGAAACTGGATCCCTTCCTTACACCTTAAACAAAAATTAATTGGTTATTGATTAAAGACTTAAACGTTAGACCTAAAACCATAAAAACCCTAGAAGAAAACCTAGGCATTACCATTCAGTACATAGGCACGGGCAAGGACTTCATGTCTAAAACAACAAAAGCAATGACAACAAAAGCAAAAATTGACAAATGGGATCTAATTAAACTAAAGAGCTTCTGCACAGCAAAAGAAACTACCATCAGAGTAAACAGGCAACCTACAAAATGGGAGAAAATTTTTGCAACCTACTCATCTGACAAAGGGCTAATATCCAGAATCTACAATGAACTCAAACAAATTTACAAGGAAAAACAAACAACCCCATGAAAAAGTGGGTAAAGGACATGAACAGACACCTCTCAAAAGAAGACATTTATGAAGCCAAAAAACACATGGAAAAAGGCTCACCATCACTGGCCATCAGAGAAATGCAAATGAAATCCACAATGAGATAGCAGCTCACACCAGTTAGAATGGCAATCTTTAAAAAGTCAGGAAACAAAAAGTGCTGGAGAGGATGTGGAAAAATAGGATTACTTTTACACTGTTGGTGGGATTGTAAATTAGTTCAACCATTGTGAACGTCAGTGTGGCGATTTCTCAGGCATCTAGAACTTGAAATGCCATTTGACCCAGCCATCCCATTACTGGGTATATACCCAAATGACTATAAATCATACTGCTATAAAGTTACATGCACACTAATGTTTATAGCGGCACAATTCACAATAGCAAAGTCTTGGAACCAACCCAAATGTCTAACAATGATAGACTGGATTAAGAAAATGTGGCACATATAAACCATGGAATACTATGCAGCCATAAAGAATGATGAGTTCATGTCCTTTGTAGGAATATGGATGAAATTGGAAATCATCATTCTCAGTAAACTATCGCAAAATCAAAAAACCAAACACTGCATGTTCTCACTCATAGTTGAGAATTGAACAATGAGAACACATGGACACAGGAAGGGGAACATTACACTCTGGGGACTGTTGTGGGTTGGGCGGAGGGGGGAAGAATAGCATTAGGAGATAGACCTAAAGCTAAATGACAAGTTAATGGGTGCAGCACACCAGCATGGCATATGTATACATATGTAACTAACCTGCATATTGTACACATGCAACCTAAAATTTAAAGTGTAATAATAATAAATAAAAATAAAATAAAATAAAAAAAGGTAAACTGCTCAATCAAAAGAAAGGTTCAACTCTGTGAGATGAATGGACACATCACAAAGAAAATTCTCAGAATGCTTCTGTCTAGCATTTATGTGCAGATTTTTTTTTCAGCTACATTTCGTTTTCCACAATAGGCCTTAAAGCACATCAAATATCCATTTGCAGATACTACAAAAAGAGTGTTTCCAAACTGCTCAATCAAAAGAAGGGTTCAACTCCGTGTGTTGAGTGTACAAATCACAAAGTAGTTTCTGAGAATGCTTCTGTTTAGTTTTTTTGTGAAAATATTTCATTTTCCACCATAAGCCTCAAAGCGCTCCATATATCCACTTGCAGATTCTTCAAAAAGAGTGTTTCAAAACTGCTCAATCAAAAGAAAGATTCAACTCTGTGACATGAATTCACACATCACAAACAAGTTTCTCAGAATGCTTCTGTCTACTTTTTATGTGAAGTTATTTCCTTTTCCACCATAGGCCTCAAAGCGCTCCAAGTATCCACTCGCAGATTCTACAAAAAGTGTTTCAAAACTTCTCAGTGAAAACAAAGGTTCAACTGTGTGAGACAAACGCACACATCACAAAGGCATTTCTCAGAATGCTTCTGTCTAGTTTTTATGTGAAGATACTTCCTCTTCCACCATAGGCCCCAAAGTGCTCCAAATATCAAGTGCAGATACTACAAAAAGAGTGTTACCAAATGGCACAATAAAAAGAAAGTTTCAACTCTGTGAGATGAATGCCCGCATCTTAAAGAAGTTTCTGAGAATGCTTCTGTCTAGTTTCTATGTGAAGATATTTCCTTTCCCACCATAGGCATCCTGACGCTCCAAATATCCACTTGCAGATTCTACAAAAAGAGTGTTTCAAAACTGCTCAATCAAAAGAAAGATTCAGCTCTGTGAGTTGAATGTACACATCACAAAGAAGTTTCTGAGAATGCTTCTGTCTAGTTTTTATGTGAAGATATTTCCTTTTCCACCATATCCCTCAAGGCACTCTAAATATCCATTTGCAGATACTACAAAAAGAGTGTTTCCAAACTGCTTAATAAAAGAAAGATTCAACTCTGTGAGTTGAATGCACACATCACAAAGAAGTTTCTGAGAATGCTTCTGTCTAGTTTTTATGTGAAGATATTTCCTTTTGAACTATAGGCCTCAAAGCACTCCAAATATCCATGTGCAGATACTACAAAAGGAGTGTTTCAAAACTGCTCAATCAAAAGAATGGTTCAGGTCTGTGAGTTGAAAGCACACATCACAAAAAATTTTCTGAGAATGCTTCATTGTAGTTTTTATATGAAAATATTTCCTTTTCCACCATAGGCCTCAAAGCGCTCCAAATGTCCACTTGCAGATTCTACAAAAAGAGTGTTTCAAAACTGCTCAATCAAAAGAAAGATTCAACTCTGTAAGACGAATGCACACATCACAAAGAAGTTTCACAGAATGCTGCTGTATAATTTTTATGTGAAGATATTTCCTTTTCCACCATAGGACTAAAAGCACTCCAAATATCCATTTGCGGTTACTACAAAACAGTGTTTCCAAACTGCTCAATCAAGAGAAAGGTTCAACTCTGTGAGTTAAATGCACACATCTCAAAGAAGTTTCTGAGAATGCTTCTGTCTAGTTTTTATGTGAAGATATTTCCTTTTCCACCAGAGGCCTCAAAGCACTCCAAATATCCACTTGCAGATTCCACAAAAAGAGTGTTTCAAAACTGCTCAATCAAAAGAAATGTTCAACTCTGTCAGTTTAATGAACACATCACAAAGAAGTTTCTCTGAATGCTTCTGTCTAGTTTTTATGTGAAGATATTTTCTTTTCAGCAGCAGGCCTCAATGTGCTCCAATTATCCATTTGCACTTACTACAAAAAGAGTGTTTCCAAACTGCTCAATCAAAAGAAAGTTTCAACTCTGTGAGTTGAAGGCACAAAGAAGTTTCTGATAAACGTTCAGTCTAGTTTCTCTGTGAAGATATTACCTTTTCTACCACAGGCCTCAAAGCACTCAAAATATACACTTGCAAATCCTTCAAAAAGAGTATTTCAAAAATGCTCAATCCAACGAAAGTTTCAAATCTGTGAGATGAATGCACACATCATGAAGGAGCTACTGAGAATGCTTCTGTCTAGTTTTTATGTGAAGATATTTCCTTTTCCACCATAGGCCTCAAAGCACTCCAAATATCCATTTGCATATTCTACAAAAAGAGTGTTTCAAAGTGCTCAATCAAAAGTAAGGTTCAAATCTGTGAGATGAATGCTCATATCACAAAGTATTTCTTTGAATGCTTCTGTCTATTTTTTATAGGAAGATATTTCCTTTTCAGCTATAGACCTAGACCACAAAGTGCTCCAAATAACCATTTGCAGATACTACAAAAAGAGTGTTTCCAAACTACGCAATCAAAAGAAAAGTTCAACTCTGTGAGTTGAATGTATGTATCATTAAAAGTTTCTGAGAATGCTTCTGTCTAGTTTTTTGGTGAAGATATTACCTTTTTCACCATAGGTCTCAAAGCACTCCAAATATCCACTTGCAGATTCCACAAAAAGAGTGTTTCAAAACTGCTCAATCAAAAGAAAGGTTCAACTCTGTGAGACAAATGGGTACTTCACAAAGAAGTTTATCAGAATGCTTCTGTCTAGTTTTGATGTGAAGATATTTCCTTTTCAGCTATAGTCCTAAAAGTGCTCCAAATATGCATTTGTTGATTCTACAAAAAGAGTGTTTCCAAACTGCTCAATCAAAAGGAAGGTTCAACCCTGTGGGTTGAATGCCCACATCACAAAGTAGTTTCTGAGAATGCTTCCATCCAGTTTTATGTGAATATATTTCTTTTTCCACCATAGGCCTCAAATCACTGCAAATATCCACTTGCAGATTCTACAAAAAGGGTGTTTCAAAACTGCTCAATCAAAAGAAAGTTTCAACTCTGTGAGGTGAATTCACACATCACAAAGAAGTTTCTCTGAATGCTTCTGTCTAGTTTTTATGTGAAGATATTTTCTTTTCAGCTATAAGCCTCAAAGCGCTCAAATATCCATTTACAGTTAGTACAAAAAGACTCTTTCCAAACTGCTCAAACAAAAGAAATATTCAGCTCTGTGAGATGAATGCACACATCACGAAGATGTTTCTAAGAATGCTTCTGTCTAGTTTTTTTATGAAGATAATTTGTTTTCAGCTATAGGCCTGAAAGCACTCCAAATATCCATTGGCAGATACTATAAAAAGACTGTTTCCAAACTGCTCAATCAAATGAAAGGTTCAACTCTGTGAGTTGAATGCAAAAATCGCAAAGAAGTTTCTGAGAATTCTTCTGTCTAGTTTTTATGTGAAGATATTTCCTTTTCCACCATAGGCCTCAAAGCACTCCAAATATCCACTCTCAGATTCCACAAAAAGAATGTTTCAAAACTGCTCAATCAAAAGAAAGGTTCAACTCAGGGAGATGAACTAACACATCACAAAGAAATTTCTATGAATGCTTCTGTCTAGTTTTTATGTGAAGATATTTCCTTTTCAGCTGTAGGCCTCAAAGCGCTCCAAATATCCACTTGCAGTTACTACAAAAAGAGTGTTTCCAAACTGCTCAATCAAGAGAAAGGTTCAACTCTGTGAGTTAAATGCACACATCTCAAAGAAGTTTCTGAGAATGTTTCTGTCTAGTTTTTATGTGAAGATATTTCCTTTTCCACCAGAGGCCTCAAAGCACTCCAAATATCCACTTGCAGATTCCACAAAAAGAGTGTTTCAAAACTGCTCAATCAAAAGAAAGTTTCAACCCTGAGAGATGAATGCACACATCACAATGAAGTTTCTCTGAATGCTTCTGTCTAGTTTTTATATGAAGATATTTCCTTTTCAGCTATAGGCCTCAAAATGCTCCAAATATCCTTTTGCAGTTACTACAAAAAGAGTGTTTCCAAACTGCTCAATCAAAAGAAAGGTTCAACTCTGTGAATTGAATGCACACGCCACAAAGAAGTTTCTGAGAATGCTTCTGTCTAGTTTTTATGTGATGATATTTCCTTTTCCACCATAGGCCTCAAAGCGCTCAAAATATCCACTTGCAGAGTCTACAAAAGGAGTGTTTAAAAACTGCTCAATCAAAATAAAGGTTCAACTCTGTGGGATGACTGCACACATTACAAAGTAGTTTCTCAGAATGCTTCCTTCTAGTTTTTATGTGAAGATATTTCTTTTTCAACTGTAGGCCTAAAAGTGCTGAAAATATCCATTTTCAGAAACTACAAAAAACGTGTTTCCAAACTGCTCTATCAAAAGAAAGGTTCAACTCTGTGAGTTGAATTCCCAAATCACAAAGAAGCCTTTGAGAATGCATCTGTCTGGTTTTTATGTGAAGATATTTCCTTTTACACCATAGGCCACAAAGCGTGCCAAATATCCACTTGCAGATTCTACAAAACGAGTTTTTCAAAACTGCTCAATCAAAAGAAAGGTTCAACTCTGTGAGATGAATGCACACATCACAAAAATTTTCTCAGAATTCTTCTGTCTAGTTTTTATGTGAAGATATTTGCTTTTCAACTTCAACCCTCAAAGCGATCAAAATATCCATTTGCAGATATTACAAAAAGAGTGTCTCCAAAGGGCTCAATCACAAGAAAGGTTCAAATCTGTGTGTTGAATGCACACAATGGGAAGAGTTTTCTGACAATGTTTCTGTCTAGTTTTTATGTGAAGATATTCCCTTTTCAGCTAAAGGCCTCAAAGCGCTTCAAATTTACATTTGCAGATACTACAAAGAGTGTTACCAAACTGCTCAATCAAAAGAAAGGTACAACTCTGTTAGTTGAATGCATGCATCACAAAGAATTTTTTGAGACTGCTTCTGTCTAATTTTTGTGTGAAGTTGTTTCCTGTTCCACCTTAGGCTTCAAAGCGCTCCAAATATCCACTTGCAGATTCTGCAAAACGAATGTTTCAAAACTGCTCAATCAAAACAAGTGTTCAACTCTGTGAGACGAATGCACACATCACAAAGGAATTTCTCAGAATGCTTCTGTCTAGTTTTTATATGAAGAGAATTCCTTTTCCACCATAGGCCTCAAAGCGTTAAAATTATCCACTTGCAGATTCCACAAAAAAAGAGTTTCAAAACTGCTCAAACAAAAGAAAGGTTCAACTCTGTGAGATAAATGCACACTTCACAAAGAATTTTCTGAGAATGCTTCTGTCTAACATTTATGTGAAGATATTTCCTTTTCCATGATAGGCCTCAAACCACTGCAATTATCCACTTGCAGATTCCACAAAAAGAGTGTTTGAAAGCTGCGAAAACCAAAGAACGTTTCAACTCTGTGAGATGAATGCACACATTACAAAGAAGTTTCTCAGAATGCTTCTGTCTAGTTATTATGTGAAAACATTTACTTTTCAACTATAGGCCTCAAAGCGTTCCACATATCCATTTGCAGACATTACAAAAAGAGTGTATCCAAATTGCTCAATTAAAAGAAAGGTTCAACTCTGTGAGTTGAATTCACACATCACAAAGAAGTTTTCTGAGAATGCTTCTGTCTAGTTTTTATGTGAAGGTAGTTCCTTTTCCACCATAGTCTTCAAACCTCTCCAAATAACCACTTGCGGATTCTACAAAAACAGTGTTTCAAATCTGCTCAATCAAAAGAAAGGTTCAAATCTGTGAGATGAATGCACACAACACAAAGAAGTATCTTAGACTGCTTCTGTCTGGTGTTTATGTGAAGATATTTCCTTTTCAACTATAGGCCTCAAAGCACTCCTAATATCCACTTGCAGATTCTATTAAAACAGTGTTTTCAAACTACTCAATCCAAGGGAAGGTTCAACTCTGTGTGTTGAATGCACACATCACAAATTAATTTCTGAGAATGATTCTGTCTAATTTTTATGTAAAGATATTTCCTTTTCCACCATAGGACTCAAAGCGCTCCAAATATCCATATGCGGATTCTAAAAAAATAGTGTTTCAAAACTGCTCAATCAAAAGAAGGGTTCAACTCTGTGAGATGAATGCAGACATCACGAGGAAGTTTCTCAGAATACTTCTGTCTAGTGTTTATATGAAGATATTTCCTTTTCAACTATAGGCCTCAAAGCGCTTCTAATATCCATTTGCAGATACTACTAAAAGAGTGTTTCCAAACAACTTAGTTGAAAGAATAGCTCAGTTCTGTGAGTTGAATGCACACATTACAAATAATTTTCTGAGAATGATTCTGACTAGTTTTTATGTGATGATATTTCCTTTTCCAACATAGGCCTCAAAGCACTCCAATCATCCAGTTGCAGATTCCACAAAAAGAGAGTTTCAAAACTACTCAAAGAAAAGAAAGTTTCAACTCTGTGAGATGAATGCACACATCACAAAGAAGTTTCTCCGAATGCTTCTGTCTAGTTTTTATGTGAAGATATTTCCCTTTCAACTATAGGCCTCAAAGCGCTCCAAATATCTGTTTGCAGATGCTACAAAAAGAGTGTTTCCAAAGTGCTCAATCAAAAGAAAAGTTCAACTCTGTGAATTGAATGCACATATCACAAAGAAGTTCCTCAGAATGCTTCTGTCTAGTTTTTATTTGAAGATATTTCCTTTCCCACCATAGGCCTCAAAGCACTCCAAATATCCACTTGCAGCTTCTACAAAAACAGTGTTTCAAAACTGCTCAATCAATGACAGGCTCAACTCGGTGAGATGAATGCACACAAAACAAACAAGTGTCTGAGAATGCTTCTGTGTCGTTTTTATGTGAAGATATTTTCTTTTCAACTATACGCCTCAAAGTGAACAAAATATCCATTTGCAGATAGTACAAAAAGAGAGTTTCCAAATGGCTCAATCAAAAGAAAGATTCAACTCTGTGAAAGGAAAGCACACATCACAGAGAATTTTCTGAGAATGCTTCTATCTAGTTTTTATGTGAAGATATTTCCTTTTCCACCACAGGCCTCAAAGCACTCTAAATATCCATTTGCAGAGTCTACAAAAGGAGTGTTTAAAAACTGCTGAATCAAAAGAAAGGTTCAACTCTGAGGGATGAATGCACACATTACAAAGTAGTTTCTCAGAATGCTTCTGTCTAGTTTTTATGTGACGATATTTCCTTTTCAACTATAGGCCTAAAAGCATTCAAAATTCCATTTGCAGATACTACAAAAAGAGTGTTTCCAAATGGTTCAATCAAAAGAAAAGTTCAACTCTGTGAGTTGAATGCACACATCACGAAGAAGTCTCTGACAATGCTTCTGTCTAGTTTTTAAATGAAGATAATTCCTTTTGCAACACAGGCCTCAAAGTTTTACAAATATCCACTTGCAGATTCTATAAAAAGAGTGTTTCAAAACCGCTCTATCAAAAGAAAGGTTCAACTCTCTGAGTCGAATGCACACATCACATAGTAGTTTCTGAGAATGCTTCTGTCTAGTTTTTATGTGAAGATATTTCCTTTTCCACCATAGGCCTCAAAGCACTCCAAATATCCACTCTCAGATTCCACAAAAAGAATGTTTCAAAACTGCTCAATCAAAAGAAAGGTTCAACTCAGGGAGATGAACTAACACATCACAAAGAAATTTCTATGAATGCTTCTGTCTAGTTTTTATGTGAAGATATTTCCTTTTCAGCTGTAGGCCTCAAAGCGCTCCAAATATCCACTTGCAGTTACTACAAAAAGAGTGTTTCCAAACTGCTCAATCAAGAGAAAGGTTCAACTCTGTGAGTTAAATGCACACATCTCAAAGAAGTTTCTGAGAATGCTTCTGTATAGTTTTTATGTGAAGATATTTCCTTTTCCACAGTAGGCCTCAAAGCGCTGCAAATATCCACTGATAGCTTCTTCAAAAAGAGTGTTTCCAAACTGTTCAGTCAAAAGAAAGGTTCAACTCTGTGAGTTGAATGCACAGATCACAAAGAAGTTTCTGAGAATGCTTCTGTCTAGTTTTTATGTGAAGATATTTCCTTTTCTGACATAGGCCTCAAAGCACTCCAAATATCCACTTGCAGATTCTACAAAAAGAGTGTTTCAAAACTGTTCAGCAAAAGAAAGTTTCTACTCTGTGAGATGAATGCACACATCACAAAGAAGTTTCTCAGAATGCTTCTGTCCAGTTTTTTTGTGAAGATATTTCCTTTTCAGCTATAGGCCTCGAAGAACTCCAAATATCCATTTGCAGATACTACAGAAATAATGTTTCCAAACTGCTCAATCAAAAGAAAAGTTCAACTCTCTATGTTGAATGCACACATCACAAAGAAGTTTCTGAGAATGATTCTGTCTACTTTTTATGTGAAGATATCTCGCTTTCCACCAGTGGCCTCAAAGGGCTCCAAATATCCGCTTGCAGATTCTGCAACAAGAGTGTTTCAAAACTGGTCAATCAATAGAAAGTTTCAACTCTGTGAGATAAATGCGCACATCCCAAAGAAGTATCTCAGAATGCTTCTGTCTACTTTTTATGTGAAGATAATTCCATTTCAGCTGTAGGCCTCAAAGCGCTGAAATTATCCATTTGCAGATACTACAAAAGAGTGTTTCCAAACTGTTCAATCAGAAGAAAGTTTCAAATATGAGAGTTGAATGCACACATACCAAAGAAGTTTTTGAGAATTCTTCTGTATAGTTTCTATGTGAAGATATTTCCTTTTCCACCATAGGCCTTAAAGCGCTCCAAATATCCACTTGCAGATTCTTCAAAAAGAGAGTTTCAAAACTGCTTAATTAAAAGAAAGGTGCAACTCTACGAGATAAATGCATCTATCACTAAGACGTTTCTCAGAATGCTTCTGTCTAGTTTTATGTGAAGATACTTCCTTTTCAGCTATATGCCTCAAATCACTCCAAATATCCATTTGCAGATACAACAAAAAGAATGTTTCCAAACTGCTCAATCAAAAGAAAGTTTCAACACTGTGAGTTGAATGCACACATCACAAAGTAGTTTCTCAGAATGTTCTATCTAGTTTTTATGTGAAGATATTTACTTTTCCACCATAGGCTTCCAAGCAAACAAAATATCCACTTTCAGATTAAAAAAAAGAGTGATTCAAAACTGCTCAGTCGAAAGAAAGGTTCAACTCTATGAGAGGAATATGCACATCAAAAAGAAGTTTCTCAGAATGCTTTTATTTAGTTTTTATGTGAAGATATTTCTTTTTCCACCACAGGCCTGAAAGCACTCCAAATACCCTTTTGTAGATACTACAAAAAGACTGATTCCAAACTGCTCCATCAAAAGAAAGGTTCTTCTCCATGAGATGAATGCACACATCACTAAGTGTTTTCTGAGAATGCTTCTGTCTAGTTTTTATGTGAAGATATTTCCTTTTCCAACATAGGCTTCATAGAGCTCCAAATATCCTATTGCAGATTCCACCAAGAGAGTGTTTCAAAACTGCTCAATCAAAAGAAAGTTTCAACTCTGTGAGATGAATGCACACATCACAAAGAAGTTTCTCAGAATGCTTCTGTCTAGTTTTACGTGAGGATATTTCATTTTCAGCAAGAGGCCTCAAAGCGCTGCAAATATCCATTTGCAGACACTACAAAAAGAGTGTTTCCAAACTGGTCAATCAAAGGAAAGGTTCAATTCTTTGAATTGAATCCACTTGCAGATTGGAAAACAGAGTGTTTCAAAGCAGCTCAACTAAAAGAAATTTTCAGCTCTGTGAGATGAATGCAAACATCACAAAGAAGTTTCTCAGAATTCTTCTTTCCAGTTTTTATGTGAAGATATCTCCTTTTCAGCTGTAGGCCTCGAAATGCTCCAAATATCCACCTTCAGATTCTACAAAAAGAGTGTTTCCAAGCTGCTCAATGAAAAGAAATGTTCAACACTGTGAAGAGAATGCACACATTACAAACAAATTTCTCTGAGTGCTTCTCTCTAGTTTTTATGTGAAGACATTTTCTCCTCAGCTATAGGCCTGAAAGCGCTCTTATATCCATTTGCAGATACTAAAAAAGAGTGTTTCCAATCTGCTCAATCAAAAGAAAAGTTCAACACTGTCAGTTGAACACACACATCCCAAAGAAGTTTCTGAGAATGCTTCAGTCTAGTTTTTAGGTGAAGATATTTCCTTTTCCACCATAGACCTCAAAGCTGTCCAAATATCCACTTGCAGAAGATTCAAAAAGATTGTTTCAACACTGCTCAATCAAAAGAAACGTTCTAGTCTGTGAGGTGAATGCACACATCACAAAGAAATTTCTCTGAATGCTTCTGTCTAGTTTTTATGAGAAGATATTTCCTTTTCAGCTATGGGCCTCAAAGTGCTCCAAATATCCATTTGCGGATACTACAAAAAGTGTGTTTCCAACTGTTGAATCAAAAGAAAGGTTCAACACTTTGAGTGGAATTCACACATCCCAAAGAAGTTTCTGTGAATGCTTCTGTCCAGTTTTTATGAGAAGATATTTCCTTTTCTACCATAGGCCACAAAGCGCTCCAAAAATCCACTTGCAGATTCTACAAAAGGGGTGTTTCCAAACTGCTCAATCAAAAGAAAGGTTCAACACTGTGAGGTGAATGTACACATCACAAAGAAGTTTCTCAGAATGCTTGTTTCTAGTTTTTATGTGAATATATTTGCTTTTCCACCATAGGCCTCAAAGCGCTCCAAATATCCACTTGCAGATTCTACAAAAAGACTGTTTCAAAACTGCTCAATCAAAAGACACGTTAAACTCTGTGAGTGCAATATCTTCACATAAAAACTAGACAGAAGCATTCTCAGAAACTTCTTTGTGGTGTGTGCATTCAACTCTCAGAGCTTACCCTTTCTTTTGATTGAGCAGTTTGGAAACACTCTTTTTGTAGTAACTGCAAATGGATATATGGAGCTCTTTCAGGCCTGTAGCTGAAAAGGAAACATCCTCACATAAAAACTACACGGAAGCATTCTCAGAAACTTCTTTGTATTGTGTGGATTCACCTCACAGATTTGAACATTTATTTTCATTGAGAAGTTTTGAAACACTCTATTTGTAAATTCTGCAAGTGTATATTCAGAGCGCTTTGAGACCTATGGTGGAAAAGCAAATATCTTCACATAGCAACTAGACAAAAGGATTCTGAGAAACTTCTTTGTGATGTGTGCATTGAGGTCAGAGAGTTGAACCTTTCTTCTGATTGAGCAGCTTTGAAACACACTTTTCGTAGGATCTGCAAGTGGATATTTGGAGCACTTTGAGGCCTATGGTCAAGAGGCAAATATCTTCACATAAAAACTAGACAGAAGCATTCTCAGAAACTTCTTTATGATGTGTGTCTTCAACTTACAGAGATGAAACTTTCTTTTGATTTAGCAGTTTGGAAAAACTCTTTTTGTATAATCTGCAAGTGGATATTTGGAGTGCTTTGAGGCCAATGGTGGAAAAGGGAATATCTTCACATGAAAACTAGTCAGAAGCATTCTGAGAAACTTCTTTGGATGTGCCATTCATCTCACAGTGTTGAATCTATCTTTTGATTGAGCCGTTTTGAAACACTCTTTCTGTGGGATCTGCCAGTGGATATTTGGAACGCTTTATGGCCTATTGCCGAAAAGGAAATATCTAAACGTAGAAACTTGACAGAACCATTCTCAGAAACTTCCTTGTGATGTGTGCATTCAACTCAGAGAGTTGAACCTTTCCTTTGATTCAGCAGTTTGGAAACATTCTTTTTGTGGTGACTGCAATTGTATATTTGGAGTGCTTTGAGGCCTATAGCTGAAAAGGAAATATCTTCACATAAAAACTAGATAGAAGCATTCTGAGAAACTTCTTTGTGATATGTGCATTCATCTCACAGAGTTAAACCTTTCTTTTGATTGAGCAGTTTTGAAACACTTTTTTTGCAAAATCTGCAAGCGGATATTTGGAGCACTTTGAGGCCTGTTGTGAAAAAGGAAATATCTTCACATAAAAACTAGACAGAAGCATTCTCAGAAACTTCTTTGTGACGTGTGCATTCAACACTCAGAGTTGAACTTTTGTTTTGATTGAGCAGTTTGGAAAAACTATTTTGGAGTACTGCAAATGGATATTTGGAATTCTTTGTGGCCTAAAGCTGAAAAGGAAACATCTTCACATAAAAACTACACAGAAGAATTTTGAGAAACTTCTTTGTTATGTGTGCATTCATCTCACAGAGTTGAACCATTCTTTTGATTGAGGAGTTTTGAAACACTCTTTTTGTAGAATCTGAAAGTGGACATTAGGAGTGCTTTGAGTCCTATGGTGGAAAAGGAAATATCTTCACATAGAAACTAGACAGAAGTATTCTCAGAAACTCCTTTGTGATGTGTGCATTCAGTTCTCGTAGTTAAACCTTTCTTTTGATTGAGCAGTTTGGAAACACTCTTTTTGTAGTAACTGCAAATGGATATTTGGAACGCTTTGAGGCTTATAGCTGAAAAGGAAATATCTTTATGTAAGAACTAGAGAGAAGCATTCTGAGAAACTTCTTTGGGATGTGTACATTCATCTTACAGAGTTGAACCTTTCTTTTGATTGAGCAGTTTGGAAACACTCTTTATGTAGAATCTGCAAGTGGATATTCTGAGCGCTTTGAGGCCTACGGTGGAAAAGCAAATAACTTCACATAAAAACTAGACAGAAGCATTCTGTGGAACTTCTTTGTGAAGTGCGCATACATCTCACAGAGCTGAATCTTTCTTTTGATTGATCAGTTTGGAAAAACTGTTTTTGTAGTAACTGCAAATGGATATTTGGACCGCTTTGAGTCCTATGTTGAAAAGGAAATATTTTCACATAAAAACTAGACAGAAGCATTCTGAGAAACTTGTTTGTGATGTGTGCATTCACCTCACAGAGTTGAACCTTGCTTTTGATTGAGCAATTTTGAAACACTCTATTTGTAGAATCTGCAAGTGGATATTTGGATCACTTTGAGGCCTATTATGATGGAAAAGGAAATATCTTCACATAAAAACTACACAGAAGCTTTCTGAAAAATATCTTTGGATGTGCACATTCATCTCATTGGGTTAAAAGGTTCTTTTTATTGAGCAGTTTGGAAACACTCTTTTTGTAGAATCTGAAAGTGGATATTTGGAGTGCTTTGAGGCCTATGGTGGAAAAGGAAATATCTTCACATAAAAACTAGACAGAAGAATTCTCAGAAACTTCTTTGTGATGTGTGCATTCATCACTCAGAGTTGAACTTTTCTTTTGATTGAGCAGTTTGGAAACACTCTTTTTGTAGTAACTGCAAATGGATATTTTAAGTGCTTTGAGGCTTATAGCTAAAAAGGAAATATCTTCACATAAAAACTAGACAGAAGCATTCTGAGATACTTGAAATTTTCTTTTGATTGAACAGTTTTGAAACATTCTATTTGTAGAATCTGCAAGTGGGTATTTGGAGCGCTTTGTGGCCTATGGTGGAAGAGGAAATACCTTCACATAAAAACTAGACAGAAGCATTCTCAGAAACTGTTTTGTGATGTGTGCCTTCAATTCACAGAGTTGAATCTTTCTTTTGATTAAGCAGTTTGGAAACACTCTTTGTGTAATATCTGCAAAAGAATATTTGAAGCGCTTTCAGGCCCATAGCAGAAAAGGAAATATCTTCACATGGAAAGTAGATGGAAGCATTCTGAGAAACTTCTTTGTCTTGGTGAATTCGTCTCACAGAGTTGAATTTTTCTTTTGATTGAGCAATTTTCAAACACACTTTTTGTAGAATCTACCAGTAGATATTTGGAGAGCTTTGAGGCCTACAGTGGAAGAGGAAATATCTTCACATAAAAACTAGACAGAATCATTCCCAGAAACTTCTTTGGATGTGTGCCTTCAACTCACAGAGTTGAACCTTTCTTTTGAGTGAGCAGTTTGGAAACACTCTTTTTCTAGTATCTGTAAATGGATATTTGGAGTGCTTTGAGTCCTATAGCTGAAAAGGAAATATCTTCACATAAAAACTAGACAGAATCATTCTTAGAAACTTCTTTGTGATGTGTGCATTCATCTCACAGAGTTGAAACTTTCTTTTGATTGAGCAATTTTGATACAGTTTGCTGAATCTGCAAGTGGATATTTGGAGTGCTTTGAGGCCAATGGTGGAAAAGGAAATATCTTCACAAAAAAACTAGACAGAAGCATTCTGAGAAACTTCTTTGTGATGTGTGCATTCATCTCACAGTGTTGAACGTTTCTATTGATTCAGCAGTTTTGAAACAGTGTATTTGTAGAATCTGCAAGTGCATATTTGGAGGCCTGTGGTGGAAAAGGAAATATCTTCTCATGAAAACTAGACAGAAGCATTCACATAAAGTATTGAAATTATCTTTTCATTGAGTAGTTTGGAAACACTCTTTTTGTAGTACCTGCAAATGGATATTTGGAGTGCTTCGATGCCTATTGGTGGAAAAGGAAATATCTTCACATAAAAACTAGACAGAAGCATTCTCTGAAACTTCTTTGTGACGTGTGCATTCAACTCTCAGAGTTGAGCATTTCTTTTGATTGAGCAGTTTGGAAACACTCTTTTTGTAGTAACTGCAAATGGATATTTTGAGCGCTTTCAGGCCTATGGCTGAAAAGGAAATATCCTCATATAAAAACTAGACAGAAGCATTCTCAGAAACTTCTTTGTGAAGTGTGCCTTCATCTCACAGAGTTGAAACTTTCTTTTGATTGAGAAGTTTTGCAAACCTCTTTTTGTAGTATTTGCAGGTGGATATTTGGAGCACTTTGAAGCCTCTGGTGGAAAAGGAAATATCTTCACATAAAAACTAGACAGAAGAATTCTCAGAAAATACTTTGTGATGTTTGCATTCAACTGACAGATTTGAACCTTTCTTTTGATTGAGCAGTTTGGAAACACTCTTTCTGTAGAATCTGAGAGTGGATATTTGGAGCGATTTGAGGCCTACAGTGGAAAAGGAAATATCTTCAAGTAAAAACTAGACAGAAGCATTCTGAGAAACTTCTTTTTATGTGCGCATTCGACTCACAGAGTTGAACCTTTCTTTTGATTGAGCAGTTTTGAAACACTCCTTTTGTAGAATCTGCAAGTGGATATTTGGAGTGCTTTGAGGCCTATGTTGGAAAATAAATATCTTCACATAGAAACTAGACAGAAGCATTCTCAGAAACTTCTTTGTGATGTGTGCATTTAACTCTCAGAGTTGAGCCTTTGTTTTGATTGAGCAGTTTGGGGACACTCTTTTTGTAGTAACCGCAAGTGCATATTAGGAGCACTTTGAGTCCTATAGCTGAAAAGGAAGTACCTTCACATAAAAATTAGACCGAAGCATTCTGAGAAACTTCTTTGGGATGTGTGCATTCATCTCACAGAGTTGAACCATTCTTTTGATTGAGAAGTCCTGATACACTCTTTTTGTGGAATCTGCAAGTGGATATTGTGAGTGCTTTAAGGCCTATGGAGGAAAAGGAAATTTCTTCCCATAAAAACTAGACAGAAGCATTCTGAGAAAATACTTTGTGAAGTGTGCATTCATCTCACAGTGCTGAACCATTCTTTTGATTGAGAAGTTTTGAAACACTGTTTTTGTAGAATCTGTAAGTGGTTTTTTGGAGCACTTTGAGGCCTATTGTGGAAAAGGAAATATCTTCACATATAAACTAGACAGAAGCATTATCAGAAACATCTTTGTGATGTGTGCATTCAACTGACAGAGTTGAACCTTTCTTTTGATTGAGCAGTTTGGAAACACTCTTTTTGTAGCATCTGCAGGTGTATATTTGGAGGTCTTAGAGGCCTATGTTGTAAAAGGAAATATCTTCACATAAAAACTAGATGGAAGCATGCTCAGAAACTTTTTTGATGTGTGCATTCAACTCTCAGAATTGAACCTTTCTTTTGATTGTGCAGTTTGTAAACACTCTTTTTGTAGAATCTGCAAGTGAATATTTGGAGCACTTTGATGCCTATGGTGGACAAGGAAATATCTTCACATAAAAACTAGACATAAGCATTCTGAGAAACTTATTTTTTATGTGCACATTGATCTCACCGAGTTGAAAGTTTCTTTTGACTGAGCCGTTTTGAAACACTCTTTTTGTAGAATCTGCAAGTGGATATTTGGAGTGCTTTGAAGTCTGTGTTTTAAAAGGAAATATCTTCACATAGAAACTAGACAGAAGCATTCTCAAAAGCTTCTTGTGATGAGTGCATTCAGTTCACAGATTTAAACCTTTCTTTTGATTGAGCAGTTTGGAAACACTCTTTTTGTAGGAACTGCAAATGGATATTTGAAGCCCTTTGAGGCCAAAGCTGAAAAGTAAATATCTTCACATAAAAACTAGAGAGAAGCATTCTAAGAAACTTCTTTGGGATGTGTGCATTCGTCTCACACAGTTGAAACTTTCAGTTGATTGAGAAGTTTTGAAACCCTCTTTTTGTAGATTCTGCAAGTGGATATTTGGAGCGCTTTGTGGCCTAAGGTGGAAAAGGAAATAACTTCACGTAAAAACTAGACAGAAGCATTCTCAGAAACTTCTTTGTGACGTGTGCATTTCACTCTCAGAGTTGAACTTTTCTTTTGATTGAGCAGTTTGGAAACAATATTTGTGTAGTAAGTACAAATGGATATTTTGGGTGCTTTGAGGCCTATAGCTGAAAAGGAAATATCTTCACATAAAAACTGGACAGAAGCATTCTGAGAAACTTGTTTGTGAGGTGTGAATTTGTCTCACAGAGTTGAACCTTTCCTTTGATTGAGCAGTTTTGAAACACTCTTTTTGTAGGATCGGCAAGTGGGCATTTTAAGGGCTTTGAGGCCTTCGGTGGAAAAGGAAATATCATCACATAGAAGTAGACGGAAGCATACTCAGTAACTCCTTCGTGATGAGTGCATTCAACTCACTTAGTTGAACCTTTCTTTTGACTGAGAAGTTTTGAAACAGTCTTTTTGTAAAATCTGCATGTGGATATTTGGAGAGCTTTGAGGCCAATGGTGGAAAAGGTAATATCTCCCCATATAAACTAGACAGAAGCTTTCTCAGAAACTTCTTAGTGATGTGCGCATTCAACTCACTGAGTTAAAACTTACTTTTCATTGAGCAGTTTGGAAACACTGTTTTTGTCGTATCTGTAAATGGATATTTGGAGTGCTTTGAGGCCTATGGTGGAAAATGAAATATCTTCACAAATTAACTAGACAGAAGCATTCTGAGAAATTTCTTTGTGATATGTGCATTCTTCTCACAGAGTTGAACGTTTGTTTTGATTGCGCATTTTTCAAGCATTCTTTTTGTAGGATCTGCAGGTGGATATTTGGAGCGCTTTGAGGCCTATGGTGGAAAAGGAAATATCTTCACATGTACTAGTTTACAGTCCCACCGACAGTGTAATAGTGTTCCTATTTCTCCACATCCTCTCCAGCACATGTTGTTTCCTGACTTTTTAATGATTGTCATTCTAACTGGTGTGAGATGGTATGTCATTGTAGTTTTGATTTGCATTTCTCTGATTGCCAGTGATAGTGAGCATTTTTTCATGATTTTATTGGGTGCATAAATGTCTTCTTTTGATAAGTGTCTGTTCATGTCCTTTGCCCACTTTTTGATGGTGTTGTTTGTTTTTTTCTTGTAAATTTGTTTGGGTTCATTGTAGATTCTGGATATTAGCCCTTTGTCAGATGAGTAGGTTGGGAAAATTTTCTCCCATTTTGTAGGTTGCCTGTTCACTCTGATGGTAGTTTCTTTTGCTGTGCAGAAGCTCTTTAGTTTAGTTAGATCTCATTTGTCAATTTTGGCTTTGGTGCCATTGATTTTGTTGTTTTAGACATGAAGTCCTTGCCCATGCCTCTATCCTGAATGGTGATGCCTTGGCTTTCTTCTAGGGTTTTTATGGTTTTAGGTCTAACGTTTAAGTCTTTAATCCATCTTGAATTAATTTTTGTATAAGGTGTAAGGAAGGGATCCAGTTTCAGCTTTCTACATATGGCTAGCCAGTTTTCCCAGCACCATTTATTAAATAGGGCATCCTTTCCCCATTGCTTGTTTTTCTCAGGTTTGTCAAAGATCACATAGTTGTAGATATGTGGCATTATTTCTGAGGTTTCTGTTCTGTTCCATTGATCTCTATCTCTGTTTGGTACCAGTACCATGGTGTCTTGGTTACTGTAGCCTTGTAGTATAGTTTGAAGGCAGGTAGCATGATGCCTCCAGCTTTGTTCTTTTGGCTTAGGATTGACTTGGGGATGCGGGCTCTTTTTTGGTTCCATATGAACTTTAAAGTAGTTTTTTCCAATTCTGTGAAGAAAACCATTGGTAGCTTGATGGGGATGGCATTGAATCTATAAATTACCTTGGGCAGTATGGCCATTTGCATGATATTGATTCTTCCTACCCATGAGCATGGAATGTTCTTCCATTTGTTTGTACCCTCTTTTATTTCCTTGAGCAGTGGTTTGTAGTTCTCCTTGAAGAGGTCCTTCACATCCCTTGTAAGTTGGATTCCTAGGTATTTTATTCTCTTTGAAGCAATTGTGAATGGGAGTTCACTCATGATTTGGCTCACTGTTTTTCTGTTATTGGTGTATAAGAATGCTGGTGATTTTTGTACATTGATTTTGTATCCTGAGACTTTGCTGAAGTTGCTTATAAGCTTAAGGAGATTTTGGGCTGAGACGATGGGGTTTTCTAGATATACAATCATGTCATCTGCAAACAGGGACAATTTGACTTCCTCTTTTCCTAATTGAATATCCTTTATTTCCTTCTCCTGCCTAATTGCACTTGCCAGAACTTCCAACATTATGTTGAATAGGAATGGTGAGAGAGGGCATCCCTGTGTTGTGCCAGTTTTCAAAGGGAATGCTTCCTGTTTTTGCTCATTCAGTATGATATTGGCTGTGGGTTTGTCATAGAGAGCTCTTATTATTTTGAGATACGTTCCATCAATACCTAATTGATTGAGAGTTTTTAGCATGAAGGGTTGTTGAATTTTGTCAAAAGCTTTTTCTGCATCTATTGAGATAATCATGTGTTTTTTGTCTTTGGTTCTGTTTATATGCTGGATTTCATTTATTGATTTGTGTATATTGAAACAGCCTTGCATCCCAGGAATGAAGCCAAATTGATCATGATGAATAAGCTTTTTGATGTGCTGCTGGACTCGATTTGCCAGTATTTTATTGAGGATTTTTGTATCAATGTTCTTCAAGGATATTTGTCTAAAATTCTCTTTTTTCATTTTATCTCTGCCTTTCTTTAATATCAGGAGGATGCTGGCCTCATAAAATGAGTTAGGGAGGATTCCCTCTTTTCCTATTGATTGGAATAGTTTCAGAAGGAAGTAAACTAGTTCATCCCTTGTGGAAGTCAGTGTGGCTCCTAGAACTAGAAATATCATTTGACTCAGGCATCCCATTACTGTGTATATACCCAAAGGACTATAAATCATGCTGCTGTAAAGACACATGCACTCGTATGTTTATTGTGGCACTATTCACAACAGCAAAGATTTGGAACCAACCCAAATGTCCAATAATGATAGACTGGATTAAGAAAATGTGGCACATATACACCATGGAATACTACGCAGCCATAAAAAATGATGAGTTCATGTCCTTTGTAGGGACATGGATGAAATTGGAAATCATCATTCTCAGTAAACTACAGCAAGAACAAAAAACCAAACACCGCATATTCTCACTCATAGGTGGGAATTGAACAATGAGAACACATGGACACATGAGGGGGAATATCACATTCTGGGGACATTTGTGGTGGGGGTGGAGGGGGGAGGGATATCTATAGGAGATATACGTAAAGCTAAAGGACGAGTTAACGGCTGCAGCACACAAGCATTGCACATATATACAAATGTAACTAACCTGCCTATTGTGCACATGTACCCTAAAACTTAAAGTATAATAATAAAATAAAAAGAATGAGGAACACTATATAATGAGCACATAACATATGCAAGACTTACATGTGTTATCTATTGTAATCTTCACAACAATAAACAAAATGAATTGTTTAAAAAAAAGAAATACCTTCACATGAAAACTAGACAGAAGCATTCTCATAATATTCTTTGTGATGTGTGCATTCAACTCACAGAGTTGAAACTTTCTTTTGATTGAATAGTTTGGAAACACTCTTTTTGCAGTAACTGTAAATGGATATTTGGAGTGCTTAAGAGACCTATAGCTGAAAGGGAAATATCTTCACATAAAAACTAGACAGAAGCATTAAGAGAAACTTTTTTGTGATGTGAGTATTCACCTCAGAGAGGTGAATCTTTCTTTGATTGAGCAGTTTTGAAACACTCTTTTTGTAGAATCTGCAAATGGATATTTGGAGCACTTTGAGGCCTATGGTGGAAAAGGAAATATATTCATATAATAAATGGAAGCATTCACAGAAACATCTTTGTAACGTGTGCATTCAACTCAAAGATTTCAAACCTTCTTTTGATTGAGCAGTTTGGAAACACTCTTTTTATAGTATCTGCAAATGGATATTTGGAGTGCTTTGAGGCCTATGGTGGAAAAGGAATTATCTTCTCATAAAAACTAGACAGAAGTATTCTCAGAAACTTATTTGTGATGTGTGCATTCAACTCACAGAGTTGAACATTTCTTTTCATTGAACAGTTTAGAAACATTCTTTTTGTAGTATCTGCAAATGGATATTTGGAGCGCTTTGAGACCGATAGCTTAAAAGGAAATATCTCCAAATAAAAACTAGACAGAAGCATTGTGAGAAACTTTTTGTGATGTGTGCCTTCATCTCACAGAGTTGAATTTTTCTTTTGATTGAGAAGATTTGAGACACTATTTTTGTAAAATCCGCAAATGGTTATTTGGGGTGTTTTGAGACCTATGGCGGAAAATGAAATATCTTCACATAACAATTAGACAGAAGAATTCTCAGAAACTTATTTGGGATGTATGCCTTCGACTTACAGTTTTGAACCTTTCTTTTGATAGAGTAGTTTGGAAATACTCTTTTTGTAGTATCTGCAAATGGATATTTGGAGCGCTTTGAGGCCTATAGCTGAAAAGCAAATATCCTCACATAAAAACTAGAGAGAAAAATTCAGTGAAACTTATTTGTGATGTGTGCATTCATCTCACAGAGTTGAACCTTTCCTTTGGTTGAGCAGTTTTGAAACACTCTTTTTGTAGTACCTGCAAATGGATATTTGGAGCGCTTTGAGGTCTGTATGTGGAAAAGGAAATATCTTCACATAAAAACTACACAGAAGTATTCTGAGAAACTTCGTGTTGTGGGCATTCATCTCACAAAGTTGAAATATTTTTTGATTGAGCAGTTTTGAAACACTCTTTTTGCAGAATGTGCAAGGGGATATGTGCAGTGCTTTGAGGTCTTTAGTGGAAAAGGAAACATTTTCACATAAAAACTAAACAGAAACATTTTAAGAAACTTCTTTGTGATGTGCACATTCATCTCACAGAGTTGAAGCTTCCTTTTGATTGTGCAGTTTTGAAATGCTCTTTTTGTAGAATCAGCTGGCGGATATTTGAGTCACTGTGAGGCCTGTGGAGGAAAAGGAAATATCTTCACATAAAATCTAGACAGAGCACTTCTCATAAAATTCTATGTGAAACGAGCATTCAACTCACAGAGTTGATCCTTTCGTTTGATTGAGTAATTTGGAAACACTCTTTTTGTAGTATCTGCAAATGGATTTGTGAGCACTATGAAGCCCATAGCTGAAAAGGAAATATCTTCACATAAAAACTAGACAGAAGCATTCTAAGAAACTTCTTTGTAGGTGTGCATTCATTTCACAGAGTTGAAGCTTTCTTTTGATTGAGCAGTTTTGAAACACTCTTTTTGTAGAATCTACAACTGGATATTTGGAGTGCTTGAGGCCTATGGTGGAAAAGGAAATTTCTTCACATAAAAACTAGACAGATGCATTCTCACAAACATGTTTGTGATATGTGCATTGAAATCGTAGAGTTGAACCTTTGTATTGATTGAGCAGATTGGAAAAACTGTTTTTGTAGTATCTGCAAATGGATATTTGAAGTGCTTTGAGGCCTACAGCTGAAAAGGAAATATCTTCACATAAAAACTAGACAGAAGCATTCTGAGAAACGTCTTTGTGATGTGTGAATTCATCTCACAGAGCTGTACCTTTCCTTTCATTGAACAGTTTGGAAACATTCTTTTTGTGATATCTGCAAATGGATATTTGGAGTGCTTTGAGATCTATGGTCGAAAGGAAATTTCTTCACATAAAATCAGCACAGAAGCATTCTGAGAAACTTCTTTGTGATGTGTGCATTTGTCTCAGAGAGTTGAACCTTTCTTTTGATAGAGCAGCTTTAAACACTCGTTTTGTAAAATCTGCAGGTGGATATTTGTAGTGCTTTGAGGCCTATGGTGAAAAAGGAAATACCTTCACATAAAAACTAGACAGAAGTATTCTCAGAAACTTCTTTGTGATGTGTGCATTCAACTCACAGAGTTGAACTTTTGTTTTGATTGAGCAGTTTGGGGACTCTCTTTTTCAAATATCTGCAAAGGGATATTTGGAGCGCTTAGAATCGTATAGCTGAAAAGGAAATATCTTCACTTAAAAACTAGACAGAAACATTAGGAGAAACTTCTTTTTGAGATGTGCATTCACCTCACAGAGTTGAACCATTCTGATGATTGAGCAGTTTTGAAAAACTCATTTGCAGAATCTGCAAGTGGATAATTGGAGCGCTTTTAGAACTATGGTGGAAAAGGTAATATCTTCATATAAAAACTAGACAGAGGCATTCTCAGAAACTTCTTTGCGATGTGTGCATTCAACTCACAGAGTTGAATCTTTCTTTGGATTGAGCAGTTTGGAAACACTCTTTTTGTAGTATCAACAAATGGATATTTGGAGCTCTTTGAGGCCTGTGGTCGAAAGGAAATATCTTCACATGTAAAGTACACAGAGGCATTCTGGAAACTTCTTTGGGATGTGTGCATTCATCTCACAAAGTTGAACCTTTCTCCTGATGGAGCAGTTTTGAAATGCTCTTTTTGTACAATCTGCAAGTGGATATTTGGGGCGCTTTGAGACCTGTGGTGGAAGATGAAATATCTTCTCATAAAAAGTAGACAGAAGCATACTCAGAAACATCTTTGTGATGTGTGCATTCAACTCACAGAGTTGAACCGTTTCTTTCAGTTTGGAAACACTCTTTTTGTAGAATCTGCAAGTGGATATTTGGAGCGCATTGTGTCCTACGGTGGAAAAGGAAATATCTTCACATGAAAACTAGACTGAAGCCATCTCAGAAAACTCCTTGGTGAAGTGTGCATTCAAGTCACAGAGTTCAACATTTTTTTTTATTGATCAGTTTGGAAACACTCTTCTATAGTATCTGCAAATGGACATTTGGAGCGCTTTGAAACCTATAGCTGAAAAGGAAATATCTTCACATAAAAACTTGACAGAAGCATTCTGAGGAACTTCTTTGCGATCTGTGCATTCATCTCACAGAGTTGAACCTTCCTTTATAGTGAGTATTTTTGAAACTTTTTGTAGCCTCTGCAAGTGGACATTTGGAGCACTTTGAGGACAATGGTGGAAAAGGAAATATCTTCACATAAAAACTAGACAAAAGCCTTCTGAGAAACTTCTTTGTGATGTGTGCATTTGTCTCACAGAGTTGAAGCTTTCTTTTGATTGAGAAGTTTTGAAACACTCTTCTTGTAGAATCTGCAAAGAGAAATTTGGAGCGCTTTGAGGCCTGTGGTGGAAAAGGAAATATCTTCACATAAAAACTGGACAGAAGCATTCTGAGAAACATCCTTGTGATGTGTGCATTCAATTCACTGAGTTGAACCATTTCTTTGATTGAGCAGTTTGCAAACACTCTTTTTGTAGAATCAGAATGTGGATATTTAGAGCGCTTTGAAGCCTATGGTTTAAAAGGAAATATCTTCACATAATAACTAGACAGAAGCATTCTCAGAAACTTTTTTTGTGATGTGTACATTCAACTCACAGAGTTTAACCTTTCTTTTGGTTGAGCAGTTTGGAAACCCTCTTGCTGTAGTATCTGCAAATGGGTATTTAGAGCACGTGAAGGCCTGTGGTGGAAAGGGAAATATCTTCACATAAAAACTACACAGAAGCGTTGTCAGAAACTTCTTTGGGATGTGAGCATTCATCTCACAGAGTTGAACCTTTCTGATGATTGAGTGGTTTTGAAACAAACACTCTTTTTGGATATTTGGAGACTTATGATTGAAAAGGAAAAACCTTCACATAAAAACTAGACAGAAGCATTCTGAAAAACTTCTTCTCTGTGATGTGTGCATTCATCTCTCAGAGTTGAACCTTTCTTTTCTTTGAGGAGTTTTGAAACACTATTTTTGTAGAATCTGCCAGAGCATAATTAGAGCACTTGGAGGCCTATGGTGGAAAAGGAAATATCTTCACATAAAAACTAGCCAGAAGTATTCTCAGAAACCTCTTTGTGATGTGTGCATTCAACTCACAGAGTTGAACCTTTCTTTTGATTGAGCAGTTTGAAAAACTCTTTTTGACGTATCTGCAAATGGATATTTGGAGGGCTTTGAGGCCTATGGTTGAAAGGAAATATCTTCACAAAAAACTAGACAGAAGCATTCTGAGAAACTACGTTGTGATGTGTGCATTCATCTCACAGAGTTGATCCTTTATGTTGATTGAGCAGTATTGAAACACTCTTTTTGTAGAATCTGCAAGTGGATATTCGGAGTGCACTGAGGCCTAAGGAGGAAAAAGGAATATCTTCACATAAAAACTACACAGAAGGAATCTCAGAAACTTATTTGCGATGTGTGCATTCAACTCACGGAGTTGAACGTTTCTTTTGATTGAGCAGCTTTGATACACCCTTTTTGAAGGATCTGCAAATAGCTATTTGGAGTGCTTTGAGGCCTATTGCTGAAAAGGAAATACCTTCCCATAGTAAATAGACAGAAGCATTCTGAGACACTACTTGTGATGTGTGCATTCACCTCATGGAGCTGAACATTTCTTTTGATGGAGCAGCTTTGAAACACTCTTTTTTTAGAATCTGCAAGTGGATATATGGAATGCTTTGAGTCCTATGGTGGAAAAGGAAACATCTTCACATAAAAAATAGACAGAAGCATTCTCAGAAACTTCTTTGGATGTGTGCATTCAACTCACAGAGTTCAACATTTCTTTCGATTGAGCAGTTTGGAAAACCTCCTTTTGTAATATCTGCAAACGGCTATTTGGAGCGCTTTGAGGTCTATAGCTGAAAAGGAAATATCTTCACATAAAAAGTAGACAGAAGCATTCTGAGAAACTTCTTTGTGATTTATGCATTCATCTCACAGAGTTGAACCTTTCTTTAGATTGAGCAATTTTGAAGCACTCTTTTTGTAGAATCTGAAAGTGGATATTTGAAGTGCTTTGAGGCCTATGGTGGAAAAAGAAATATCTTCAAATTAAAACTAGATAGAAGCATTCTCAGAAACTTGTTTCTGATGTGTGCATCCAACTCACAGAGTTGAACATTTCCTTTGATTGAGCAGTTTGGAAACACTCTTTTTGTAAGTATCTGCAAATGAATATTTGGAGCACTTTGAGGCCTATAGCTGAAAAAGAAATATCTTCACATAAAAACTAGACAGAAGCATTCTGAGAAACTTCTTTGTAATGTATGCATTCATCTCACAGTGTTGAAACTTTCTTTTGATTCAGCAGTTTTGAAACGCTCTTTTTGTAGAATCTGCAAGTGGATATTTGGAGTGCTTTGAGACGTATGGTGGAAAAGGAAATATCTTCACATAAAAACTAGACAGAAGCATTCTCAGAATCTTCTTTGTGATGTTTGCAATCAACTCACGGAGTTGAACCTTTCTTTTGATTGAGCAGCTTGGAAACAGTCTTTGTAGTACCTGCAAATGGATATTGGGAACGCTTTGAGGCCTATAGCTGAAAAGGAAATATCTTCAACTAAAATCAAGACAACATCATTCTCAGAAACTTCTTTGTAATGTGTTCATTCATCGGACGGAGTTGATCCTTTCTTTTGATTGAGCAGTTTTGAAACACTCTTTTTATAGAATCTGCAAGTGTATATTTGGAGCTCTTTGAGGTCTGTGGTGCAAAATGAAATATCTTCAAATAAAAACTAGACAGAAGTCTTCTCAGAATATTCTTTGCGATGTGTGCATTCAACTCACCGAGTTGAACCTTTCTTTTTAGTTAGCAGTTTGGAAGCACTCTTTTGTAGTATCTGCAAATGGATATTTGGATCGCATTGAGGCCTGTAGCTGAAAGGGAATTAACTTTATGAACAACTAGACAGAAGCATTCAGATAAACTTCTTTGTGATGTGTGCATTCATCACACAGAGTTGAAATTTCTATTGATTGAGATGTTTTGAAAAACTTTTTTTGCAGAATCTGAAAGTGGATATTTAGAGTGCTTTGAGGCCTATGGTTGAAAAGGAAATATCTTCACATAAAAACTGGACAGAAGCATTCTCAGAAACTTCTTTGTAAAGAGTGCATTCATCTCACAGGGTTGAATTTTTCTTTTGATTGAGCAGTTTGGAAACACTCTTTGTGTACTAACTGCAAATGAATATTAGGAGCACATTGAGGCCTGTAGCTGAAAAAGAAATATCTTCTCATAAACACAAGACAGAAGCATTCTGAGAAACTTCTTTGTGATGTGTGCATTCATTTCAAAGAGCTGAATCCTTCTTTTGATTGAGAAGTTTTGAAACACTCTATTTTTAGAATCTGCAAGTGGATATTTGGAGCACTTTAAGGGCTGCAGTGGGAAAGCAAATATCTTCACATAAAAACTAGACAGAAGCATTCTGAGAAACGTCTTTGTGATGTGCGAATTCTTCTCAGAGAGTTGAAAATGTCTTTTGATTGAGTGGTTTAGAAACACTCTTTTTGTAGAATCTGTAAGTGGATATTCGGAGTGCTTTGTGGCTTATAGCTGAAAAGGAAATATCTTCACATAAAAACTAGAAAGAAGCATTCTGAGGAACTTCTTTGTGATGTGCGCATTCATCTCACAGAGTTGAACATTTCTTTTGATTGAGCAGTTTCGAAACCCACTTTTTGTAGAATCTGCAAGTGGATATTTGGAGCGCTTTGAGGCCTATAGCTGAAAAGGAAATATCTTCACATAAAAACTACACAGAAGCATTCTGAGAAACTTCTTTGTTATATGTGCATTCAGCTCCCAGTATTGAAACTTTCTTTTGATTGAGAAGATTTGAAACGTCCTTTTTGTAGTCTCTGCAAAGGGATCTTTTGAGTGCTTTGGCACCTGTAGCTGAAAAGGAAATATCTTCACATAAAAACTTGACAGAAGCATTCTGAGAAACTTCTTTGTGATGTGTACATTCACCTCACAGAGTTGAAACTTTCTTTCAATTGAGCAGTTTTGAAACACTCGTGTTGTAGAATCTGCAAGTGGATATTTGGAGTGCTTTCAGGACTATGGTGGAAAAGGAAATATCTTCAGATAAAAACTCGACAGAAATATTTTGAGAAAGTTTTTGTGATGCGTGCATTCATCTCACAGGTTCGAAAATTTATTTTGATTGAGTAGTTTTGAAATGGTCTTTTTGTACCATCTGCACATGCATACATGGGGAGCTTTGAGACCTATGGTGGAAAAAGGAAATATCTTCACATAAAAACTAGACAGAAGAATTCTGAGAAACTTCTTTGGGATGTGCACATTCACCTCACAAAGTTGAACCTTTCTTACATTCAGCAGTTTTGCAAAACTCTTTTCGTAGAATCTGCAAGTGGATATCCGGAGCGTTTTGAGGCCTGTGGTGGAAAAGGAAATATCTTCACATAGAAACTAGGCAGAATCATTCTCAGAAACTTCTTTGTGATGTGTGCATTCAACTCACAGAGTTGAGCCTTTCTTTTGATTCAGCAGTTTGGAAACACTCTTTTTGTAGTAACTACAAATGGATATTTGGAGCGCTTCTTGGCATATAGCTGAAAAGGAAATATCTTCACATAAAAGCTAGATAGACGCATTCTGAGAAACTTCTTTCTGATGCGTGCATTCATCTCATTGAGGTGAACCTTTCTTTTGACAGAGCAGTTTTTAGGGACTCTTTTTGTGGAATCTGCCAGTGGATATTTGGAGCACTTTGAGGCTTATGGTGGAGAAGGAAATATCTTCACATAAAAACTAGACAGAAGCATTCTCAGAAATTTTTTGGGATGTGCTCATTCACAACAGAGTTGAACCTTTCTTTTCATTGAGTAGTTCTGCAAAACTCTTTTTGTAGTATCTGCAAGCAGATATTTGGAGCGTTTTGAATCCTGTGGTGGAAAAGGAAATATCTTCACATAGAAACTAGACAAAAGCATTCTCAGAAACTTCTTTGTGATGTGTGCATTCAACTCACAGAGTTGAACCTTTCTTTTGATTGAGCAGTTTGGAAACACTCTTTTTCTAGTAACTACAAATGGATATTTGGAACGTTTCTTGGCATATACCTGAAAAGGAAATATCTTCACTAAAAGCTAGACAGAAGCATTGTGAGAAACTTCTTTGTGATGTGTGCATTCATCTCACTGAGGATCCTTTCTTTTGATTGAGCAGTTTTGAAACACTGTTTTTGTAGAATCTGCAGTTGAATACTTGGAGCGCTTTGAGGCCTATGGTGGAAAAGGAAATATCTTCACATAAAAACTACACAGAAGCATTCTCAGAAACTTCTTTGTGATGTGTGAATTCAACTCATGGAGTTGAACCTCTCTTTTGATTGAGCAGTTTTGAAACACTCTTTTTGTAGTATCTGCACATGGATATTTGTAGCCCTTTGAGGACTACATTGGAAAAGGAAATATCTTCACATAAAAACTATACAGAAACATTCTGATAAGCTTCTTTGTGATGTACACATTTAACTCACAGAGTTGAACCTTTCCTTTGATTACGTAGTTTGGAAATACTTTTTTTGTAGCATCTGCAAATGGATATTTGGAGCACTTTGAGGCCTATAGCTGAAAAGGAAGTATCTTCACCTAAAAACTAGACAGAAGCATTCTGAGAAATTTCTTTTTTTTTTTTTTAATTTTTTTTTTTATTATACTCCAAGTTTTAGGGTACCTGTGCACATTGTGCAGGTTAGTTACATATGTATACATGTGCCATGCTGGTGTGCTGCACCCACTAACATGTCATCTAGCATTAGGTATATCTCCCAATGCTATCCCTCCCCCCTCCCCCGAACCCACCACAGTCCCCAGAGTGTGATATTCCCCTTCCTGTGTCCATGTGATCTCATTGTTCAATTCCCACCTATGAGTGAGAATATGCGGTCTTTGGTTTTTTGTTCTTGCGATAGTTTACTGAGAATGATGGTTTCCAATTTCATCCATGTCCCTACAAAGGACATGAACTCATCATTTTTTATGGCTGCATAGTATTCCATGGTGTATATGTGCCACATTTTCTTAATCCAGTCTATCGTTGTTGGACATTTGGGTTGGTTCCAAGTCTTTGCTATTGTGAATAATGCCGCAATAAACATAAGTGTGCATGTGTCTTTATAGCAGCATGATTTATAGTCATTTGGGTATATACCCAGTAATGGGATGGCTGGGTCAAATGGTATTTCTAGTTCTAGATCCCTGAGGAATCGCCACACTGACTTCCACAATGGTTGAACTAGTTTACAGTGTCACCAACAGTGTAAAAGTGTTCCTATTTCTCCACATCCTCTCCAGCACCTGTTGTTTCCTGACTTTTTAATGATTACCATTCTAACTGGTGTGAGATGATATCTCATAGTGGTTTTGATTTGCATTTCTCTGATGGCCAGTGATGATGAGCATTTCTTCATGTGTTTTTTGGCTGCATAAATGTCTTCTTTTGAGAAGTGTCTGTTCATGTCCTTCGCCCACTTTTTGATGGGGTTGTTTGTTTTTTTCTTGTAAATTTGTTTGAGTTCATTGTAGATTCTGGATATTAGCCCTTCTTTGAGATGTGTGCATTCATCTCAAAGTGTTGAACCTTTCCTCTGATTGAGCAGTATTGAAACACTCTTTTTGTAAAATCTGCAAGTGGATATTTGGAGCTCTTTGTGGCCTATAGTGGAAAAGGAAACACCTTCACATAAAAACTAGACAGAAATATTCTGAGAAACTTCTTTGTGATGTACGCATTGATCTCACAGTGTTGAATGTTTCTTTTGTTTGAGCAGTTGGGAAACACTCTTTTTGTAGTATCTGCAAATGGATAATTGGAGTGCCTTGAGGCCTAAGGTGAAAAAGGAAATATCTTCACATAAATACTAGAGAGAAGCATTCTGAGAAACCTGCTTGTGATGTGTGAATTCATCTCACAGAGTTGAACCTTTCTTTTGATTGAGCAGTTTTGTCACACTCTTTTTGTAGAATCTGCAAGTGGATATTTGGAGTGCTTTTAGGCCTATAGTGGAAAAGGAGATATCTTCACATAAAAACTAGACAGAAACATTCTCAGAAACCACTTATTGATGTGTGCTTTCAAGGCACAGAGTTGAACCCTTCTTTTGATTGAGTAGTTTGGAAACACTCTTTTTGTAGTACCTGGAAATGGATATTCAGAGCGCTATGGGGCCTATAGAAGAAAAGGAAATATCTTCACAGAAAAAGTAGACAGAAGCATTCTCAGAACCTTCTTTGTGTTGTGTGCATTCAACTCAACTCAGAGAGTTGTACCTTTCTTTTGATTCAGCCGTTTGAGAGCACACTTTTTGTAGTATCTGCAAATGGATATTTGGAGCGATTTGAGGCTGATAGCTGAAAAGGAAATATCTTCAAATAAAAACTAGACAGAAGCATTCTGAGAAAGGTCTTTGTGATGTGTGCATTCATCTCACAGTGTTGAAACCTGTCTTTGATTGACCAGTTTTGAAACACTCTCTTTGTTGGATCTGCAAGAGGATGTTTGGAACGCTTTGAGGCCAATAGTGGAACAGGAAATATCTTCACATAAAACCCAGACAGAAGCATTCTCTGAAACTTCTTTGGGATGTTTGCATTCAACTCACAGAGTTAAACCTTTCTTTTGATTGAGCAACTTGTAAACACTCTTTTTGTAGCATCTGCAAATGGATAATTGGATCACTTTGGGGTCCATAGCTGAAAAGGAAATATCTTCACATAAAAACTAGACAGAAGTATTGTGAGAAATGGCTTGGTGATGTGTGCATTCACCTCACTGGGTTCAACCTCTCTTTTGATTGAGCAGTTTGGAAACACTCTTCTTGTAGAATCTGCAAGTGGATATTTGGAGCGCTTTGAGGCCTACGGTGGAAAAGGAAATAACTTCACATGAAAACTATACAGAAGAATTCTCAGAAACTTCTTTGAGTTGTTGTCTTCCACTCACAGAGTTGAACTTGTCTTTTGAATAAGCAGTTTGGAAACATTCTTTTTGGAGTATCTGCAAATGGGTATTTGAAGTGCTTTCAGGCCTATAGCTGAAAAGGAAGTATCTTTGCATAAAAACTAGACAGAAGCATTCTGAGAAACTTCTTTGTGATGTGTGCATTCATCTCACAGAGTTGAAACATTCTTTTGATCGAGCAGTTTCGAAACACTCTTTTTGTAGTATCTGTAAGTGGATATTTGGAGTACCTTGAGGCCTACGGTGGAAAAGGAAATATCTTCACATGAAAACTATACAGAAGAATTCTCAGAAAATTCTTTGTGTTGCTGCCTTCCACTCAAAGAGTTGAACTTGTCTTTTGAATGAGCAGTTTGGAATCACTCTTTTTGGAGTATCTGCAAATCGGTATTTGAAGCGCTTTCAGGCCTATAGCTGAATAGGAAGTATCTTCGCATAAAAACTAGACAGAAGCATTCTGAGAAACTTCTTTGTGATGTGTGCATTCATCTCACAGAGTTGAAACATTCTTTTGATTGAGCAGTTTTGAAACACTCTTTTTGTAGTATCTGTAAGTGGATATTTGGAGTGCTTTGAGCCCTATCATGGAAAAGGAAATATCTTCACATAAAAAGTACACAGAAGCATTCTGAGAAACTTGATTGTGATGTGTGCCTTCATCTCACAGATTTGAACCTTTCTTTTGATGGAGTAGTTTTCAAACACTCTCTTTGTATAATCTGCAAGTGGATATTTGGAGCCCTTTGAGGTCAATGGTGGAAAAGGTAATATCTTCACATAGAAACTAGACAAAAGCATTCCCAGAAACTTCTTTGTGATGCATGTATTCAATTCACAGAGTTGAAACTTTCTTTTGATTGAGCAGTTTGGAAACACTCTTTTTTTAGTAATGCAAATGGATATTTGGAGCGGTTTTCGGCCTATAGCTGAAATGGAAATATCTTCACATAAAACCTGGACAGAGCATTCTGAGAAACCTCTTTTTGATGTGTTCATTCATCACACAGAGATGAATCTTTCTTTTGATTGAGCAGTTTTGAAACACTCTTTTGGAGAATCTGCAAGTGGATATTTGGAGCGCATCGAGGCCTATGGTGGAACAGGAAATATCTTCACATAAAAACTAGAAAGAAGCATTCTCAGAAACTTCTTTGGGATGTGTGCATTCAACTCACATAGTTGAACCTTTCTTTTAACTGAGCAGTTTGGAAACACTCTTTTTGTAGTAACTGCAAATGGATATTTGGAGGCTTTGTGGCCTATAGCTGAAAAGGAAATATCTTCACATAAAAGCTAAACAGGAGCATTCTGAGAAACTTCTTTGTGATGTGTGCATTCATCTCACAGAAGTGAACCATTCTTTTGATTGAGCACTTTTGAAACACTCTTTTTGTAGAATCTGCAAGTGGATATTTGGAGCACTTTGAGACCCATTATGGAAAAGGAAATATCTTCATATAAAAACTAGACAGAATCATTCTCAGAAACTTCTTTGAGATGTGTGCATGCAACTAACAAAGTTGAAACTTTCTTTTGATTGAGCATTTTGAAAACACACTTTTTGAAGTATCTGCAAATGGATATTTGGAGTGCTTTGTGGCCTATGGTGGAAAAGGAAATATCTTCACATAGAAACTAGACAGAAGCATTCTGAGAAACTTGTTTGTGATGTGTGCATTCATCTCACAGAGATGAAACCTGCCTTTGATTGAACAGTTTTGAAACACTCTTTTGGTAGAATCTGCAAATGGTTATTTGGAGCACTTTGAGGCCTATGTTGGAAGGGAAATATCTTCACATGAAAACTAGACAGAATAATTCTCAGAAACTTCTTTGTGATGTGTGAATTCATCTCACAGAGTTGAACCTTTCTTTCATTTGAGCAGTTTTGAAACACTTTTTTTGTAGATTCTGCAAGTGGATATTTAGAGCGTTTTGAGGCCTGTGGTGGTAAAGAAAATATCTTCACATAAAAACTAGACAGAAGCATTCAGAGAAACTTCTTTGTGATGTGTTTATTCACCTCACAGAGTTGAACATTTCTTTTGTATGAGCTGTTTTGAAACACTCCTTTTGTAGGATCTGCAAGTGGATATTTGGAGCGCTTACCTCCTCTAGTGGAAAAGGAAATAACTTCACATAAAAACTAGACAGAAAGGTGGTTGGAGCCAAGATGACCAAATAGGAGGAGCTCTGGTCTACAACTCCCAGCGTGGGAGATGTCGAAGTTGGATGATTTCTACATTTCTGTCTGAGGTACTGGGTTCATCTGACTATGGATTGCCAGAGAGTCGGCATGGGACAGTGTGCATGGTGCAACGTGTGCGAGCTGAAGCATGGCAAGGCATTGCTTTACTTGGGAAGTCCAAAGGGTCAGGGAATTCCCTCTCTTAGTCAAAGAAAGGGGTAACAGACGGCACCTGGAAAATTGGGTCACTCTCACCCTAATACTGCGCTTTTCTGATGCACTTAAAATACTTGGCACCAGGAGATTCTATCCCACATCTGGCTCAGAGGGTCCTACGCCCATGGAGTCTCACTGATTTCTAGCACAGAAGTCTGAGATCAAACTTCAAGGCAGCAGCGAGGCTGGGGGAGGGACGCATGCCATTGCCCAGGCTTGCTTAGGTACACAAAGCAGCCAGGAAGCTCCAACTGGGTGGAGACCACCACAGCACAAGGACTCCTGCCTTCCTCTGTAGGCTCCACCTCTGGGGGCAGGGCGCACACAAACAGAAAGACAGCAGTGACTTCTGCAGACTTAAGTGTCCCTGTCTGACAGATTTGAAGAGAGCAGTCGTTCTCCCAGCATTCAGCTAGAGATCTGAGAACGGGCAGGCTGCCTCCTCAAGTTGGTGTCTGACCCCTGAACCCCAAGCAGCCTAACTGGGAGGCACCACCCAGTAGGGGCAGACTGACACCTCACTCGGCCGGGTACTCCTCTGAGACAAAAGTTCCAGAAGAACGATCAGACAGCAGCATTTGCAGTTCACAAAAATCCACTGTTCTGCAGCCACCACTGCTGTTACCCAGGCAAACAGGTCTGGAGTGGACCTCTAGCAAACTCCAACTGACCTGCAGCTGAGGGTCCTGTCTGTTAGAAGGAAAGCTAACAAACAGAAAGGACATCAACACCAAAAACCCATCCATACATCACCGTCATCAAAGACCAAAAGTAGATAAAACCACCAAGATGAGGAAAAACAGAGCAGAAAAACTGGAAACTCTATAAAGCAGGGCACCTCTCCTCATCCAAAGGAAAGCAGTTTCTCATCAGCAATGGAACAAAGCTGGATGGAGAATGACTTTGACGAGCTGGGAGAAGAAGGCTTCAGATGATCAAACTACTCTGAGCTACAGGAGGAAATTCAAACCAAAGGCAAAGAAGTTAAAAACTCTGAAAAAAAATTTAGACGAATGTATAACTAGAATAACCAATACAGGGAAGTGCTTAAAGGAGCTGATGGAGCTGAAAGCCAAGGCTCGAGAACTACGTGAAGAATGAAGAAGCCTCAGGAGCTGATGTAATCAATGGGAAGAAAGGGTACCAGTGACGGAAGATGAAATGAATGAAATGAAGCGAGAAGGAAAGTTAAGAGAAAAAAGAATAAAAAGAAATGAACAAAACATCCAAGAAATATGGGACTATGTGAAAAGACAAAATCTAAGTCTGATTAGTGTACCTCAAAGTGACGGGGAGAATGGAACCAAGTTGGAAAACACTCTGCAGGATACTATCCAGGAGAACTTCCCCAATCTAGCAAGGCAGGCCAACATTCAGATTCAGGAAATACAGAGAATGCCACAAAGATACTCTTCGAGAAGAGCAACTCCAAGACACATAATTGTCAGATTCACCAAAGTTGAAATTAAGGAAAAAATGTTAAGGGCAGTCAGAGAGAAAGGTCGGGTTACCCACAAAGGGAAGCCCATCAGACTAAAGGTGGATCTCTTGGCAGAAACTCTACAAGCCACAAGAGAGTGGGGGCCAATATTCAACATTCTTAAAGAAAAGAATTTTCAACCCAGAATTTCATATCCAGCCAAACTAAGCTTCATAAGTGAAGGAGAAATAAAATACTTTATAGACAAGCAAATGCTGAGAGAATCTGTCAATACCATGCCTGCCCAAAAGGAGCTCCTGAAGGAAGCACTAAATGTGGAAAGGAACAACCGGTACCAGCCACTGCAAAATCATGCCAAATTGTAAAGACCACCATGGCTAGGAAGAAACTGCATCAACTAACGAGCAAAATAACCAGCTAATATGATAATGACAGGATCAAATTCACACATAGCAATATTAACTTTAAAAGTAAATGGACTAAATGCTCCAATTAAAAGACACAGACTGGCAAATTGGATAAACAATCAAGACCCATCAGTGTGCTGTATTCAGGAAACCCATCTCACGTGCAGAGACACACATAGGCTCAAAATAACAGGATGGAGGAAGATCTACCAAGCAAATGGAAAACAAAAAAAGGCAGGGGTTGCAATCCTAGTCACTGATAAAACAGACTTTAACCAACAAAGATCAAAGGAGACAAAGAAGGCCGTTACATAACGGTAAAGGGATCAACTCAACAAGAGCGAACTATCCTAAATATATATGCACCCAATACAGGAGCACCCAGATACATAAAGCAAGTCCTGAGTGACCTACAAAGAGACTTAGACTCCCACACAATAATAATGAGAGAATTTAACACCCCACTGTCAGCATTAGACAGATCGACAAGACAGAAAGTTAACAAGGATACCCAGGAATTGAACTCAGCTCTGAACCAACTGCACCTAATAGACATCTACAGAACTCTCCACCCCAAATCAAGAGAATATACATTTTTTTTCAGTACCACACCACACCTAGTCCAAAATTGACCACATAGTTGGAAGTAAAGCTCTCCTCAGCAAATGTAAAAGTTCAGACATTATAACAAACTGTCTATCACACCACAGTACAATCAAACTAGAACTCAGGATTAAGAAACTCACTCAAAACTGCTCAACTACATGGAAACTGAACAACCTGCTCCTGAATGACTACTGGGCACATAATGAAATGAAGGCAGAAATAAAGATGTTCTTTGAAACCAACGAGAACAAAGTCACAACATACCAGATTCTCTGGGACACATTCAAAGCAGTGGGTAGAGGGAAATTTACAGCACTAAATGCCCACAAGAGTAAGCAGGAGAGATCCAAAATTAACACAATAACATCACAATTAAAAGAACTAGAAAAGCAAGAGCAAACACATTCAAAAGCTAGCAGAAGGCAAGAAATAACAAAAATCAGAGCAGAACTGAAGGAAATAGAGACACAAAAAACCCTCCAAAAAATTAATGTATCCAGGATCTGGTTTTTGAAAGGATCAACAAAATTGAAAGACTGCCAACAAGACTAATAAAGAAGAAAAGAGAGAAGAATCAAAAGGATGCAATAAAAAATGATAAAGGGGTATCACCACTAATCCCACAAAAATAAAAACTACCATCAGAGAATACTACAAACACTTCTATGCAAATAAACTAGAAAATCTAAAAGAAATGGATAAATCCCTCGACACATACATCCTCCCAAGACAAAACCAGGAAGAAGTTGAATCTCTGAATAGACCAACAACAGGATCTGAAATTGTGGCAATAATCAATAGCTTACCAATCAAAAAGAGTTCAGGACCAGATGCATTCACAGCCAAATTCTACCAGAGGTACAAGGAGGAACTGATACCATTCCTTCTGAAACTATTCCAATCAACAGAAAAAGAGGGAATCCTCCGTAACTCATTTTATGAGGCCAGCATCATTCTGATATCAAAGCCGGGCAGAGACACAACCAAAAAAGAGAATTTTAGACCAATATCCTTGATGAACATTGATTCAAAAATCCTCAATAAAATACTGGAAAACGAAATCCAGCAGCACATCAAAAAGCTTATCCACCATGATCAAGTGAGCTTCATCCCTGGGATGCAAGGCTGGTTCAATATACACAAATTAAAAATGTAATCCAGCATATAAACAGAACCAAACACAAAAACCACATGGTTATCTCAATAGATGCAATAAAGGCCTTTGACAAAATTCAACAACCCTTCATCCTAAAAACTCTCAATAAATTAGGTATTGATGGGATGTATCTCAAAATAATAAGAGCTATCTATGACAAACCCACAGCCAATATCATACTGAATGGTCAAAAACTGGAAGCATTCACTTTGAAAACTGGCACAACACAGGGATGCCCTCTCTCACCACTCCTATTCAACATAGTGTTGGAAGTTCTGGCCAGGGCAATTAGGCAGGAGAAGGAAATAAAGGATATTCAATTCAGAAAAGAGGAAGTCAAATTGTCGCTGTTTGCAGATGACATGATTATATATCTAGAAAAACCCATTGTCTCAGCCCAAAATCTCCTTAAGCTTATAAGCAACTTCAGCAAAGTCTCAGGATACAAAATCAATGTACAAAAATCACAAGCATTCTTATACACCAATAACAGACAAACAGAGAGCCAAATCATGAGTGAACTCCCATTCATAATTGCTTCAAAGAGAATAAAATACCTAGGAATCCAACTTACAAGGGATGTGAAGGACCTCTTCAAGGAGAACTACAAACCACTGCTCAATGAAATAAAAGAGGATACAAAGAAATGGAAGAACATTCCATGCTCACGGGTAGGAAGAATCAATATCGTGAAAATGGCCATACCGCCCAAGGTAATTTATAGATTCAATGCCATCCCCATCAAACTACCAATGGTTTTCTTCACAGAATTGGAAAAAACTACTTTAAAGTTCATATGGCACCAAAAAAGAGCCTGCATCACCAAGGCAATCCTAAGCCAAAAGAACAAAGCTGGAGGCATCACGCTACCTGCCTTCAAACTATACTACAAGGCTACAGTAAGCAAAACAGCATGGTGCTGGTAGCAAAACAGAGATATAGATCAATGGAACAGAACAGAGCCTTCAGAAATAATGCCACATATCTACAACTATGTGATCTTTGACAAACCTGAGAAAAACAAGCAATGGGGTAAGGATGCCCTATTTAATAAATGGTGCTGGGAAAACTGGCTAGCCATAAGTAGAAAGCTGAAACTGGATCCCTTCCTTACACCTTATACAAAAATTAATTCAAGATGGATTAAAGACTTAAGCGTCAGATCTAATACCATAAAAACCCTAAATGGAAACCTAGGCATTACCATTCAAGACATAGGCAGGGCAAGGACTTCATGTCTAAAACACCAAAAGCAATGGCAACAAAAGCCAAAATTGACAAATGGGATCTAATTAAACTAAAGAGCTTCTGCACAGCAAAAGAAACTACCATCAGAGAGAATAGGCAACCTACAAAATGAGAGAAAATTGTCACAACCTGCTCATCTGACAAAGGGCTAATATCCAGAATCCACAATGAACACAAACAAATTTACAAGAAATAAACAAAGAACCCCAACAAAAAGTGGGTAAAGGACATGAACAGACACCTCTTGAAAGAAGACATTTATGCAGCCAAAAAACACATGAAAAAATGATCACCATCAGTGGCCATCAGAGAAATGCAAATCAAAACCACAATGAGATACCATATCACACCATTTAGAATGACAATCATTAAAAAGTCAGGAAACAACAAGTGCTGGAGAGGATGTGGAAAAACAGGAGTATTTTTACACTGTTGGTGGGAATGTAAACTAGTTCATCCGTTGTGGAAGTCAGTGTGGTGATTCCCTTAGTCAGGGATCTAGAACTAGAAATGCCATTTGACCAAACCATCCCATCACAGGGTATATACCCAAAGGACTATAAATCATGCTGCTGTAAAGTCACATGCACACGTATGATTATTGTGGTAGTATTCACAATAGCAAAGACTTGGAACCAACCCAAATGTCCAACAATGATAGACTGGATTAAGAAAATGTGGCACATATACATCATGGAATACAGTGCAGCCGTAAAAAATGATGAGTTCATGTCCTTTGTAGGGACACGGATGAAATTGGAAATCATCATTCTCAGTAAACTATTGCAAGGACAAAAAACCAAACAATGCATGTTCTCACTCATTGGTGGGAATTGAACAATGAGAACACATTGACACAGGAAGGCTAACGTCACACTCTGGGGACTGTCGTGGGTTTGGGGGGAGGGGGAAGGGATAGCATTAGGAGATATACCTAATGCTAAATGATGAGATAATGGGTGCAGCACACCAGCATGGCACATGTATACATATGTAGCTAACCTGCACATTGTGCACATATACACTGAAACTTAAAGTGTAATAATAATAAAACAAAAAAAATAAAAAAAAGAAAACTGCTCAATCAAAAGAAATGTTCAACTCTGTGAAATGAATGCAGACATCACAAAGAAGTTTCTCGAATGTTTCTGTCTAGTTTATACGTGAAGATATTTAATTTTCCACCATAGGACTGAAAACGCTCCAAATAGCCACTTGCAGACTCTACAAAAAGAGTGTTTCAAAACTGCTCATACAAAGGAAATGTTCACCTCTGTGAGGTGAATGCACACATCTCAAAGAAGTTTCTCTGAATGCTTCTGTCTAGTTTTTATGTGAAGATATTTCCTTTTCCACCATAGGCCACAAAACCCTCCAAATATCCACTTGCAGATTCTGCAAAAATAGTTTTTCAAAACTGCTCAATTAAAAGTAAAGTTCAACACTGTGAGATGAATTCAAACATCACAAAGAAGTTTCTCAGAATGCTTCTGTCTAATTTGTATGTGAAGATATTTCCTTTTCCAGTAGAGGATGAAATCGCTCCAAATATCCACTTTCAGATTCTACAAAAAGAGAGTTTCAAAACTGCTCAATCAAAAGAAAGTTTCAACTCTGTAAGTTGAATGGACACATCACAGAGAAGTTCCTCAGAATGCTTCTGTCCAGTTTTTATGTGAAGATATTTCCTTTTCAACCCTAGGTCTCAAAGCGTTCCAAATATCCACTTGCAGAATCTGCAAATAGAGTGTTTCAAAACTGCTCAATCAAAAGAAAGGTTCAACTCTGTGAGATGAATACACACATCACAAAGAAGTTCCTCAGAATGCTTCTTTCTAGTTTTTATGTGAAGATATTTCCTTTTCAGCTATAAGCCTCAAAGCACTCCAAATATCAATTTGCAGATACTACAAAATGAGTGTTTCCAACCTTCTCAATCAAAAGAAAGTTTCTACTCTGTGAGTTGAATGCACACGTCACACAGAAGTTTCTGAGAAGGCTTTTGTGTAGATATTAGTTGAAGATATTTCCTTTTCTACCATAGGCCACAAAGCTCTCCAAATATCCACTTGCAGTTTCTACAAAAAGAGTGCTTCCAAACTGCTCAATCAAAAGAAAGGTTCAACTCTGTGAATTGAATGCACACATCACAAAGAAGTTTCTGAAAATCCTTCCATCTGGTTTTTATGTGAAGGTATTTCCTTTTCCACCGTACACCTCAAAGCTTTCATTATATCCACTTGCAGATATTTCAAAAGAGTGTTTCAAAGCTGTTCAACCAAAAGAAAGTTTCAAATCTGTGAGATGAATAAAGATCACAAAGAAGTTTCTCAGAATGCTACTGTCTAGTTTTTATATGAAAATATTTCTTTTTCAGCTATAAGCCTCTATGCACTCCAAATATCCACTTGCAGTTACTAAAAACAGAGTGTTTCCAAACTGCTCAATCAAAAGAAAGATTCAACTCTGTGAGTTGAATGCACACATCACAAAGAAGTTTCTGAGAATGCTTCTGTCTAGTTTGTACGTGAAGAAATTTCCTTTACCACCATAGGCCTCAAAGCACTCCAAATATCCATTTGCAGATCCTGCAAAAAGAGTATATCAAAACTGCTCAATCAAAAGAAAGGTTGAACTCTGTGATATGAATCCACACATCACAAAGAAGTGTCTGAGAATGCTTCTGTCTAGTTTTTATGTAAAGATATTTCCTTTTAAGCTATAGACCTCAAAGTGCTTCAAATATCCCTTTCAGATACTACAAAAAGAGTGTTTCCAAACTGCTCAATCAAAGAATGATTCAGCTCTGTGAGTTGAATGCACACATCACAAAGAAGTTTCTGAGAATGCTTCTGTCTAGTTTTTATGTGAAGATATTTCCTTTTCCACCATAGCCCTAAATGTGCTCCAAATATCCACTTGCAGATTCTACAAAAACGGTGTTTCAAAACTGCTCAAAGAAAGGTTCAACTCTGTGAGATGAATGCACACATCCCAAAGAAGTTTCTCAGAAAGCTTCTGTCTAGTTTTTATGTGAAGATATTTCATTTTCAGCTATATGCCTCAAAGGGCTCCAAATATCCATTTGTAGATACTACAAAAAGAGGGTTTCCAAACTGCTCAATCAAAAGAAATATTCAACTCTGTGAGTTGAATGGACACATCCCATAGAAGTTTCTGAGAATGCTTCTGTCTAGTTTTTTTGTGAAGATATTTCCTTTTCCTCCATAGGCCTCCAATCCCTCCTATTATCCAATGGCATATCCTCAACAAAGAGTGTTTGAAAACTGCTCAATCAAAAGAAATATTCAACACTGTGACATAAATGCGCACATCATGAAGAAGTTTTTCCGAATTGTTCTGTTTAGTTTTTATGTGAAGATATTTGCTTTTCCCCCATAGGCCTCATAGCACTCCAAATATCCACTTGTAGATTCTACAAAAAGAGTGTTTCCAAACTGCTGAATCAAAAGAAATGTCCAACTCTGTGAGTGGAATCACACATCACAAAGAAGTTTCTGAGAATTCTTCTGTCTAGTTTTTACGTGAACACATTTCCTTTCAACCACAGGCCTCAAAGCTCTGCAAATATCCACTTGCAGATCCTGCAAAAAGAGATTTTCAAAACTGCTCAATCAAAAGAAAGGTTCAACTCTGTGAGTTGAATGCACACATCACAAGGAAGTTTCGCAGAATGCTTCTCTCTAGTTTTTATTTTTCATTTTTTTAAATTTTATTATTATTATACTTTAAGTTTTAGGGTACATGTGCACAATGTGCAGGTTTTGTTCCATATGTATACATGTGACATGCTGGTGTGCTGCACCCATTATCTCATCATTTAGCATTAGGTATATCTCCTGAAGCTATCCCTCCCCCTTCCCCTCACACCACGACAGTCCCCAGAGTTTGATGTTCCCCTTCCTGTGTCCATGTCTTCTCATTGTTCAATTCCTACCTATGAGTGAGAATATGTATTGTTTGGTTTTTTGTTATTGTGCTAGTATACTGAGAATGATGATTTCTAATTTCATCCATGTCCCTGTAAAGGACATGAACTCATCATTTGTTATGTCTGCATAGTATTCCATGGTGTATATGTGCCACATTTTCTTAATCCAATCTATCATTGTTGGACATTTGGGTTGGATCCAAGTCTTTGCTATTGTGAACAGTGTCGCAATAAACATACGTGGGCATTTGTCTTTATAACAGCATGATTTATAGGCCTTTGGGTATATAAACAGTAATGGGATGGCTGGGTCAAAAGTGGTATTTCTAGTTCTAGATCCCTGAAGAATCGCCACACTGACTTCCACAATGATTGAAATAGTTTACAGTCCCACCAACAGTGTAAAAGTGTTCCTATTTTTCCACATCCTCTCCAGCACCTGTTGTTTCCTGACTTTTTAATGATTGCCATTCTAACTGGTGTGAGATGCTATCTCATTGTGGTTTTGATTTGCATTTCTCTGATAGCCAGTGACAGTGAGTATTTTTTCACTGCTTTTTGGCTGCATCAATGTCTTCTTTTGAGAAGTGTCTGTTCATGACCTTCACCCACTTTTTGATAGGGTTGTTTGTTTTTTTCTTGTGAAGTTGTTTGAGTTCATTGTAGATTCTGGATATTAGCCCTTTGTCAGATGAGTAGGTTGCAAAAATTTTCTCCCATTTGGTAGGTTGCCTGTTCACTGTGATGGTAGTTTCTTTTGCAGTGCAGAAGCGCCTTAGTTTAATTAGATCCCATTTGTCTATTGTGGCTTTTGTTGCTATTGCATTTGGTGTTTTAGTCATGAAGTCCTTGGACATGCCTATGTCCTGAATGGTAATGCTAAGGTTTTCTTCTAGGGTTTTTATGGTTTTAGGTCTAACGTTTAAGTCTTTAATCCATCTTGAATTAATTTTTGTATAAGGTGTAGGGAAGGGACCCAGTTTCAGCTTTCTACTTATGGCTAGCCAGTTTTCCCAGCACCATTTATTAAATAGGGCATCCTTACCCCATTGCTTGTTTTTCTCAGGTTTGTCAAAGATCACATAGTTGTAGATATGTGGCGTTATTTCTGAGGTCTCTGTTCTGTTCCATTGATCTATATCTCTGTTTTGGTACCAGCACCATGCTGTTTTGCTTACTGTAGCCTTGTAGTATAGTTTGAAGTCAGGTAGCGTGATGCCTCCAGCTTTGTTCTTTTGGCTTAGGATTGCCTTGATGATGCGGGCTCTTTTTTGGTGCCATATGAACTTTAAAGTAGTTTTTTCCAATTCTGTGAAGAAAGTCATTTGTATTTTGATGGGGATGGCATTGAATCTATAAATTACCTTGGGCGGTATGGCCATTTTCACGATATTGATTCTTCCTACCCGTGAGCATGGAATGTTCTTCCATTTCTTTGTATCCTCTTTTATTTCATTGGGCAGTGATTTGCCGTCCTCCTTGAATAGGTCCTTCATGTCCCTTGAAAGTGGGATTCCTAGGTATTTTATTCTCTTTGAAGCAATTGTGAATGGGAGTTCACTCATGATTTGGCTCTCTGTTTGTCTGTTATTGGTGTACAAGAATGTTTGTGATTTTTGTACATTGATATTGTTTCCTGAGACTTTGCTGAGGTTGCTTATAAGCTTAAGGAGATTTTGGGCTGAGACAATGGGGTTTTCTATATATACAATCATGTTATCTGCAAACAGGGGCCATTTGACTTCCTCTTTTCCTAATTGAATACCCTTTATTTCCTTCTCCTGCCTAATTGTCCTGGCCAGAACTTCCAACACTATGTTGAATAGGAGTGGTGAGAGAGGGCATCCCTGTGTTGTGTCAATTTTCAAAGTGAATGCTTCCAGTTTTTGACCATTCAGTATGATATTGGCTGTGGGTTTGTCATAGATGGCTCTTATTATTTTGAGATACATCCCATCAATTCCTAATTTATTGAGAGTTTTTTGCATGAAGGTTGTTGAATTTTGTCAAAGGCCTTTATTGCATCTATTAAGATAATCATGTGGTTTTTGTGTTTGGTTCTGTTTATATGCTGGATTACATTTATTAATTTGCATATATTGAACCAGCCTTGCATCCCAGGGTTGAAGCTCACTTGATCATGGTGGATAAGCTTTTTGATGTGCTGCTGGATTTCGTTTTCCAGTATTTTATTGAGGATTTTTGAATCAATGTTCATCAAGGATATTGGTCTAAAATTCTCTTTTTTGGTTGTGTCTCTGCCTGTCTTTGGTATCAGGTTGACTGATACCAACCTGATAACTCATAAAATGAGTTACAGAAGATTCCCTCTTTTTCTGTTGATTGGAATAGTTTCAGAAGGAATGGTACCAGTTCCTCCTTGTACCTCTGGTAGAATTTGGCTGTGAAAGCATCTGGTCATGGACTCTTTTTGATTGGTAAAGCTATTGATTATTGCCACAATTTCAGATCCTGTTGTTGGTCTATTCAGAGATTCAACTTCTTCCTGGTTTAGTCTTGGGAGGATGTATGTGTCGAGGGATTTATCCATTTCTTCTAGATTTTCTAGTTTATTTGCATAGAAGTGTTTGTAGTATTCTCTGATGGTAGTTTTTATTTCTGTGGGATCGGTGGTGATATCCCCTTTATCATTTTTTATTGCATCTTTTTGATTCTTCTCTCTTTTCTTCTTTATTAGTCTTGCTAGCAGTCTTTCAATTTTGTTGATGTTTTCAAAAAGCAGATCCTGGATTCATTAATTTTCTGGAGGTTTTTTTGTGTCTCTATTTCCTTCAGTTCTGCTCTGATTTTAGTTATTTCTTGCCTTCTGCTGGCTTTTGAATGTATTTGCTCTTGCTTTTCTAGTTCTTTTAATTGTGATGTTAGGATGTCAATTTTGGAACTTTCCTGCTTTCTTTTATGGGCACTTAGCGCTATAAATTTCCCTCTACACACTGCTTTGAATGTGTCCCAGAGATTCTGGTACATTGTGTCTTTGTTCTCGTTGGTTTCAAAGAACATCTTTATTTCTGCCTTCATTTCATTATGTACCCAGTAGTCATTGAGGAGCAGGTTATTGAGTTTCCATGTAGTTGAGTGGTTTGAGTGAGTTTCTTAATCCTGAGTTCTAGTTTGATTGCACTGTGGTCTGAGAGACAGTTTGTTATATTTTCTCTTCTTTTACTTTTGTTGAGCAGAGCTTTACTTCCAACTATGTGGTCAATTTTGGACTAGTTGTGGTGTGGTGCTGAAAAAAAATGTATATTCTGTTGATTTGGGGTAGAGAGTTCTGTAGATGTCTATTAGTTCCTCTTGGTGCAGAGCTGAGTTCAATTCCTGGGCATCCTTGTTAACTTTCTGTCTCATTGATCTGTCTAATGTTGACAGTGGGGTATTAAGGTATCCCGTTATTATTGTGTTGGAGTCTAAGTCTCTTTGTAGGTCACTCAGGACTTGCTTTATGAATCTGGCTCCTCCTGTATTGGGTGCATATGTGTTTAGGATAGTTAGCTCTTCTTGTTGAATTGGTCCCTTTACCGTTATGTAATGGCCTGCTTTGTCTCCTTTGATCTTTGTTGATTAAAGTCTGTTTTATCAGAGACTAGGATTGCAACCCCTGCCTTTTTTTGTTTTCCATTTGCTTGGTAGATCTTCCTCCATCCTGTTATTTTGAGCCTATGTGTGTCTCTGCACGTGAGATGGGTTTCCTGAATACAGCACACTGATGGGTCTTGACTCTTTATCCAATTTGCCAGTCCGTGTCTTTTAATTGGAGCATTTAGTCCATTTACATTTAAAGTTAATATTGTTAAGTGTGAATTTGATCCTGTCATTATGATGTTAGCTGGTTATTTGGCTCGTTAGTTGATGCAGTTTCTTCCTAGCTGTGGTGGTCTTTACAATTTGGCATGATTTTGCAGTGGCTGGCACCGGTTGTTCCTTTCCATGTTTAGTGCTTCCTTCAGGAGCTCTTTTAGGGCAGGCCTGGTGGTGACAAAATCTCTCAGCATTTGCTTGTCTGCAAAGTATTTTATTTCTCCTTCCCTTATGAAGCTTAGTTTGGCTGGATATGAAATTCTGGGTTGAAAATTCTTTTCTTTAAGAATGTTGAATATTGGCCCTCACTCTCTTGTGGCTTGTAGAGTTTCTGCCAAGAGATCTGCTGTTAGTCTGATGGGCATCCCTTTGTGGGTAACCCAACCTTTCTCTCTCACTGACCTTAACATTTTTTCCTTAATTTCAACTTTGGTGTATCTGACAATTATGTGTCTTGGAGTTGCTCTTCTTGAGGAGTATCTTTGTGGCGTTCTCTTTATTTCCTGAATCTGAATGTTGGTCTGCCTTGCTAAATTGGGGAAGTTCTCCTGGATAATATCCTGCAGAGTGTTTTCCCACTTGGTTCCATTCTTCCCATCACTTTGAGGTACACCAATCAGACGTAGATTTTGTCTTTTCTCATAGTCCCATATTTCTTGGAGGTTTTGTTCATTTCTTTTTATTCCTTTTTCTCTTAACTTCCCTTCTCACTTCATTTCATTCATTTTGTCTTGCATCATTCGTACCCTTTCTTCCAGTTGATCTCATCAGCTCCTGAGGCTTCTTCATTTCTCATGTAGTTGTCGAGCCTTGGTTTTCAGCCCCATCAGCTCCTTTAAGCTCTTCTCTGTATTGGTTATTCTAGTTATACAGTCGTCTAAATTTTTTTCAGGGATTTCAACTTCTTTGCCTTTGGTTTGAATTTCCTCCTGTAGCTCAGATTAGTTTGATCGTCTGAAGCCTTCTTCTCCCAACTCATCAAAGTCATTCTCCATCCAGCTTTGTTCTGTTTCTGATGATAATCTGCGTTCCTTTGGAGGAGAAGAGGTGGTCTGCTTTATAGAGTTTCCAGTTTTTCTGCTCTGTTTTTTCCCCATCTTTGTGGTTTTATCTACTTTTGTTCTATGATGATGGTGATGTACAGGTGGGATTTTGCTATGGATGTCCTTTCTGTTTGTTAGTTTTCCTTTTAACCGTCAGGACCCTCAGCTGTAGGTCAGTTGGAGTTTGCTAGAGGTCCACTCCAGACGCTGTTTCCCTGGGTAACAGCAGCGGTGGCTGCAGAATAGTGGATTTTTTTGAATCATGAATGCTGCTGTCTGATCGTTCCTCTGGAAGTTTTTCTCAGAGGAGTACCCAGCCGTGTGAGGTGTCCATTGGCCCCTACTGAGGGGTGCCTCCCAGTTAGGCTGCTTGGGGATCAGGGATCAGGGACCCATTTGAGGAGTCAGCCTGCCCATTCTCAGATCTCCAGCTGCATGCTTGCAGAACTACTGATCTCTTCAAATCTGTCAGACAGGGACATTTAAATCTGCAGAGGTTACTGCTGTCTTTTTGTTTGTGTGTGCCCTGCCCCCAGAGGTGGAGCCTACAGAGGCAGGCAGGCGTCTTTGAGCTGTGGTGGTCTCCACCCAGTTGGAGCTTCCTGGCTGCTTTGTGTACCTAAGCAAGCCTGGGCAGTTGCGGGCGTCCCTCCCCCAGCCTCGCTGCTGCCTTGCAGTTTGATCTCAGACTGCTGTGCTAGAAATCAGCGAGACTCCGTGGGTGTAGGACCCTCCAAGCTAGGTGTGGCATAGAATCTCCTGGTGTGAAGTATTTTAAGCACTTCAGAAAAACACAGTATTATGGTGGGAGTGACACAATTTTCCAAGTGCCATCTGTTACCCCTTTCTTTCACTAGGGAAGGGAACTCCCTGACCCCTTGTGCTTCCTGAGTGAGGCAATGCTTCACCATTCTTCCGCTCATGCATGGTGCACTGCACCCACTGTCCTGTGCCCAGTGTCTGGCCATCCATAGTGAGATGAACCCGGTACCTCAGATGGAAATGCAGATATCATCCGACTTCTGCACCCCTCACACTGGGACCAGAGCTGTTTGTAGACCAGAGCTGTTCCTATTCGGCCATCTTGGCTCCAACCACATATCTGTCCAGTTTTTATGTGAAGTTATTTCCTTTTCCACTGGAGGAGGTAAGTGCTAAAAATATCCATTTGCAGATTCTACAAAAAGAGTATTTCAAAACTGTTCAATCAAAAGAAAAGTTCAACTCTGTGACATGAATGGACACATCACAAAGAAGTTTCTCAGAATGTTTCTGTCTAGTTTTTATGTGAAGATATTTCCTTTACAGCAATTGGACTCAAAGTGCTTCAAATACCCATTTGCAGTTACTACAAAAAGAGTATTTCCACACAGTTAATCAAAACAAAGTTTCAACTCTGTGAGTTGAATGCACACATCACAGTGATGTTTCTGAGAACGCTTCTGTCTAGCTTTTCTGTGAAGAAATTTCCTTTTCCACCATAGGCCTCCAAGCGCTAAAAATATCCAGTTGCCAGTTCTACAAAAAGAGTGTTTCAAAACTGCTCAATCAAAAGAAAGTTTCACCTCTGTGAGGTGAATGCACACATCACAAAGAAGTTTCCCAGAATGCTTCTGTTTAGTTTTTGTGTAAAGATATTTCTTTATCAGCTATAGGCCACAAAGCACTCCAAATAACCATTTGCAGATACCACAAAAAGAGTGTTTCCAAAACTGCTCAATCAAAAGAAAAGTTTAATTCTGTGAGTTGAATGCACACATCACAAAGAAATTTCTGGGAATGTTTCTGTCAATTTCTTATGTGAAGACGTTTCTTTTTCCATCATTGGCCTCAAAGCACTCCAAATATCCAGTTGCAGATTCTACAAAAAGAGTGTTTCAAAACTGCTCAGTCAAAAGAAACGTTCAACTCTGTGAGATTAATGCACACATCACAAAGGAATTTCTGAGAATGCTTCTGTCTAGTTTTTATGCGAAGATATTTTCTTTTCCAGTAGAGGCTGCAAGAGCTCCAAATATGCACATGCATATTTTACAAAAAGAGTGTTTGAAGACTGCTCAAAGAAAAGAAAGTTTCAAACCTGTGAGTTGAATTCACAGATATCAAAGAAGTTTCTCAGAATGCTTATGGCTAGTTTTTACGTGAAGATATTTCCTTTTCCTCCATAGGTTTCAAAGAGCTCCAAATATCCACTTGCAAATACTACAAAAAGAGTGTTTCCAAACTGCTCAATCAAGAGAAAGGTTCAACTCTGTGAGTTCAATGCACACATCACAAAGAAGTTTCTGACACCACTTCTGTCTAATTTTCATGTGAAGATATTTCCTTTTCCACCATAGGCCTCAAAACTCCTCAAATATCCACTTGCAGATTCTACAAAAATAGCATTTCAAAACTGCTCAATGAAAAGAAAGGTTCGACTCTATGAGATGAATGCACACATCACAAAGAAGTTTCTCAGAATGCTTCTGTCTAGTTTTTATGTGAAGATATTTCCTTTTCAGCTAAAGGCCTCAAAGCACTCCAAATATCCATTTGCAGATACTACAAAAAGAGTGTTTCCAAACTGCTCAATCAAAATAAAGGTTCAACTTTGTGAGTTGAATGCACATATCACAAAGAAGTTTCTGAGAATACTTCTGCTTAGTTTTTATGTGAGATATTTCCTGTTCCACTATAGGCCTCAAAGCACTCCAAATATCCACTTGCAGATTCTACAGAAAGCGTGTTTCAAAACTGTTCCATCAAAAGAAAGTTTCAACTCTGTGAGATGAATGCACACAACACAAAGAAGTTTCTCAGAATGCCTCTGTGTAGACTTTATGTGAAGATATTTCCTTTTCAGCTATAGGCCCCAAAGCGTTCCAAATATCCATTTGCAGATACTACAAAAAGACTATTTACAAACTGCTCAATCAAAGGAAATGTTCAACTCTGTGAGGTGAATATCCACATGACAAAGTGGTTTCTGAGAATGCTTCTGTCTACTTCTTTTGTGAAGATATTTCCTTTTCCACCAATGGCCTCAAAGCACTCCAAATATTCACTTGCAGATTCCACAAAAAAAGTGTTTCCAAACTAGTCAATCAAAAGGAAGGTTCAACTCTGTGAGTTGCATACACATATCACAGAGAAGTTTTTCAGAATGCTTCGGTCTAGTTTTTATGGGAAGATATTTCCTTTTCAGCTAAAGGCCCCAAAGCACTCCAAAAATTCATTTGCACATGCTACAAAACGATTGTTTCCAAACTGCTCCATCAAAACAGTGGTTCAGCTCTGTGAGTTGAATAGAAACATCACAAAGAAGTTTCTCAGAATACTTCTGTCTAGCTTTATGTGAAGATATTTCCTTTTGACCATAGGCCTCCAAGCCCTCCAAATATCCATTTGCAGTTACTACAAAAAGAGTGTTTCCAAACTGCTCTATCAAAAGAAAAGTCCAATTCTGTGAGTTGAATGCACACATCATAAAGAAGTTTCTGAGAATGCTTCTTTCTAGTTTTTATGTGAAGATATTTCCTTTTTCACCATAGGCCACAAAGAGCTCCAAATATCCAATTGCAGAATCTACAAAAAGAGTGTTTCAAAACTGCTTAATCAAAAGAAAGGTTCAACTCTGTGAGACGAATGCACACACCACAAAAAAGTTTCTCAGAATGCTTCTGTGTAGTTTTTATGTGAAGATATTTCCTTTTACACCATAGGTCGCAATGTGCTCCAAATATCCGTTTGCAGATATTACAAAAAGAGTGTTTCCGAATTGCTCAATCAAAAGAAAGGGGCAACTCTGTGAATTGAATGCACACTTCACAAAGAAGCTTCTGAGAATGCTTCTGTGTAGTTTTTATGTGAAGATATTTCCTTTTCCACCGTAGGCCTCAAAGCGCTCCAAATATCCACTTGCAAATCTTATAAAAAGAGGGTTTGAAAACTGCTGAATAAAAAGAAAGTTTCAACTCTGGCATTTGAATGCACACATCCCAAAGAAATTTCTGAGAATCCTTCTGTCTTGTTTTTATATGAAGATATTTCCTTTTCAACCATAAGCCTCAAAGCACTCCAAATGTCCCCTACTGATAGTACAAAAGAGTGTTTCAAAACTGCTCTATCAAAAAAAGGTTCAACTCTGTGAGATGAATGCACACATCACAAATAAGTTTCTCATAATGCTTTTGTCTGGTTTTTATTTGAGCATATTTCCTTTTCAGCTATAGGCCTCAAAGTACTCCAAATATCCCCTACAGATACTACAAAAAGAGTGTTTCCAAACAGCTCAATAAAAATAAATTTTCAACTCTGTGAGTTGAATGCACACATCAGAAAGAAGTTTCTCAGAATGCTTCTGTCTAGTTTTTATGTGAAGATATTTCCTTTTCCACCATACTCCTCAAAGCGCTCGAAATATCCACTTTCAGATTCTACAAAAAGAGTGTTTCAAAACTGCTCAATCAAAAGAAAGGTTAAACTCTGTGAGATGAATGCACACATCACAAAGAAGTTTCTCTGAATGCTTCTGTCTAGTTTTTATGTGAAGATATTTCCTTTTCCACCATAGGCCTCAAAGAGCTGCAAATATCCACTTTCAGATTCTACAAAAAGAGTGTTTCAAAGCTGCTCAATCAAAAGAAATGTTCAACTCTGTGAGATGAATGCACACATCACAAAGCAGTTTCTCAGAATCCTTCTGTCTAGTTTTTATGTGAAGATATTTCCTTTTCACCTGTATGTCTCAATGCGCATGCACTGCAAATATCCATTTGCAGATATGACAAGAAGAGTGTTTTCAAACTCTTCAATGAAAAGGAAGCTTCAACTGTGTGAGTTGAATGCACACATCATAAATAAGTTTTTGAGAATGCTTCTGTCTAGTTTTTATGTGAAGATATTTCCTTTTCCACAATAGGCCTCAAAGCACTCCAAACATACACTTGCAGATTCTACAAAAAGAGTGTTTCAAAACTTCTCAATCAAAAGAAGGGTTCAACTCTATAAGATGAATGCACACATCACAAAGGAGTTTCTCAGAATGTTTCTGTCAAGTTTTTATGGGAAGATATTTCCTTTTCAGCTATTGCCCCCAAAGTGCTCCAAATATCCATTTGTAGATTCTACAAAAAGAGTGTTTCCAAAGTTCTCAATCAAAAGAAAGGTTCAATTCTGTGAGTTGAATGCATACATCACAAAGAAGTTTCTGAGAATATTTCTGTCTAGCTTTTATGCCAAGATATTTCCTTTTCCCCCATAGACCTCAAAGTGCTCCAAATATCCATTTGTCAATGCTACAGAAAGACTGTTTCCAAACTGCTCAATCAAAGAATGGTTCAACTCTGTGAGTTGAATGCACACGTTACAAAGTAATTTCTCCCAATTCTTCTGTCTAGATTTTATGTGAAGATATTTCCTTTTCCACTATAGGCCTCAAAGCACTCCAAATATCGATTTGCAGATATTATAAAAAGACGTTATCAAAGCTGCTCAATCATAACAAAGCTTCGTCTTTCTATGTTGAATGCTCACATCATAAAGAGGTTTAACCGAATGCTTCTCTCTAGTTTTTATGCAAAGTTATTTCCTTTCCACCATAGGCCACAAAGTGCTCCACATATCTTCTTGCAGATTCTACAAAAAGAGTTTTTCAAAACAGCTTAATCAAAAGAGAGGTTCACCTCTGTGAGATGAATTCACACATCAGGAACAAGTTTGTCAGAATGCTTCTGTGTAGTTTTTAAGTGAATTTATTTCCTTTTCCACTATAGGGTGCAAAACGCTCCAAATATCCCCTCACACATTCTACAAAAAGAGTGTTTCAAAACTGCTCAACCAAAAGAAAGGCACAACTCTGTGAAATGAATGCACTCATCACAAAGCAGTTTCTCAGAATGCTTCTGTCTAGTTTTAATATGAAGATGTTTGCTTTTCCACCATAGGCTGCAAATTGTACCAAATATCCGCTTGCAGATTCTACAAAAACTGTGTTTCAAAACTGTTAAATCAAAAGAAAGGCTCAACACAGTGAGATGAATGCCCACATCACAAAGAAGTTTCTCAGAATTTTTCTGTCTGGTTTTTATGTTAAGACATTTACTTTTACACCTCAGACTTCAAAGTGCTCCATATATCCATTTGCACATACTACAAAAGACTGTTTCCAAACTGCTCAATCAAAAGAAAGGTTAAACTCTGTGAGTTGAATGGACACATCACACAGAAGTTTTTCAGAATGCTTCTGTCAAGTATTTATGTGAAGATATTTTCTTTTCCAATATAGCCTTCAAAGAGCTCAAAATACTCACTTGCAGATTCTAAAAAAAGAGTGTTTCCAAAATGGTTAATCAAAAGAAATGTTCACCTCTTTGAGATGAATGCATACATCACAAAGGAGTTTCTCAGAATGCTTCTGTCTAGTGTTTATGTGAAGATATTTCCTTTTCCACTATAGGCCTCAATGCACTCTAAATATCCATCTGCAGCTACTATAAAAATCTCTTTCCAAACTGCTCAATCAAAAGAAAAGTTCAACTCTGTGAGTTGAATACACACATCACAAAAACTTTCTCAGAATGCTTCTGTCTAGTTTTTATGTGAAGAAATTCCCTTTTCAACAGTAGGCCACAAAGCACTCCAAATATGCAATGACAGATTCTACAAAAAGAGTGTTTCAAAACTGCTCAATAAAAAGAAAGTTCAACTCTGTGAGACGAATGCACACTTCACAAAGAAGTTTCTCAGAATGCTTCTGTCTAGTTTTTACGTGAAGATATTTCCTTTTCCACCATTGGCCTCTAAGCGATCCAAATATCCATTTGCAGATACTACAAAAAGACTGTTTCCAAACTTCTCAATCAAAAGAAAAGTTCATCTCTGTGAATGGAAAGCAGATATCATGAAGATGTTTCTCAGAATGCTTCTGTCTGCTTTTTATGTGAGGATATTTCCTTTTAGACCATATGACTGAAAGTGCTTCAAATATCCACTTTCAGATTCTACAAAAACAAGGTTTCAAAACTGCTCAATCCAAAGAAAGATTCAACTCTGTCAGATGAATGCACACGTCACAGAGAAGTTTCTCAGAATGTCTCTGTCTAGTTTTTATTTGAAGATATTTCCTTTTCCACCATAGACCTCAAGGTGCTCCGAATATCCATTTTCAGATTCTACAAAAAGACTGTTTCCAAACTGTTCAATCAAAAGAGAGGTTCAACTCTGTGAGATGAATGCATACATCGCAGATTAGTTTCTCAGAAAGCTTCTGTCTAGTTTCTATATGAAGATATTTCCTATTGCCCCATAGGCCTCAATGGCCTCCCAAATATTCCTCTGCAAATTCTGAAAATGACTGTTTCCAAAATTCTGAATCAAAAGAAAGGTTCAACTCTGTGAAATGAATGCACACATCACAAATAAGTTTCTCATAATATTTTGCCTAGTTTTTATATGAAGATATTTCCTTTTTCACCATAGGCCTCAAAATGCTCCAAATATCCATTTGTAGGTACCACAAAAACGCTGTTTCCATACTGCTCGATCAAAACAAAATTTCAATTCTGTGAAATGAAAGCACACATCACAAAGTAGTTTCTCAGAATGTTTCTGACCAGTTTTTATGTGAAGATATTTCCTATTACCTCGTAGGCCTCAATGGGCTCAAAAATAATCCTCTTCATATTCTTCAAAACGACTGTTTCCAAACTGCTCAACCAAAAGAAAGGTTCAACTCTGTGAAATGAATGCACACATCACAAAGAAGTTTCTCAGAATTCTTCTGTCTAGTGTTTATTTGAAGATATTTCCTTTTTCATCATAGGCCACAAAGAGCTAGAAATAGCCATTTGTCGATTCTACAAAAACTGTTTCTAAACTCTCAATAAGAAGAAAGTTTCAACTCTGTAAGATGTAAGCAGACATCTTAAAGAAGTTTCTCAGAAAGTTTCTGTCTAGTTTTTATGTGAAGATATTTTGTATTTCCCCAGAAGCCTCAATAGGCTCACAAATATCCCTTTACAGATTCTACAAATCGACTCTTTCTATACTGCTCAATCAAAAGAAATGTTCAACTCTGTGAGATGAATGTGCACATCACAAGGAAGTTCGTCAGAATGCTTCTGTCCAGTTTTTATATGAAGATATTTCCTTTCCCACCTTAGGCCTCTAGGAGCTCCAAATATCCAGCTGTAGATTCTACAAAAAGTGTTTCAAAACTGCTCAATCAAAAGAAAGGTTCAACTCTGTGAGATGAATGCACACATCACATACAAGTTTCTCAGAATTCTTCTGTCTAGTTTTTATGTGAAGATATTTCCTTTTTCATCATAGGCCACAAAAAGATAGAAATAGCCATTTGTCGATTCTACAAAAAGACTGTTTCTAAACTCTCAATAAGAAGAAAGTTTCAACTCTGTAAGATGTAAGCAGACATCATAAAGAAGTTTCTCAGAAAGTTTCCATCTAGTTTTTATGTGAAGATATTTTCTATTTCCCCAGAAGCCTCAATGGGCTCACAAATATCCCTTTACAGATTCTACAAATTGACTCTTTCTACACTGTTCAATCAAAAGAAATGTTCAACTCTGTGAGATGAATGTACACATCACAAGGAAGTTCGTCAGAATGCTTCTGTCCAGTTTTTATGTGAAGATATTTCCTTTCCCATCTTAGGCCTCTAGGAGCTCCAAATATCCACCTGTAGATTCGACAAAAAGTGTTTCAAAACCGCTCAATCAAAAGAAAGGTTCAACTCTGTGAGGTGAATGCACACATCACTTACAAGTTTCTCAGAATCCTTCTGTCTAGTTTTTATGTGAAGGTATTTCCTTTTCCACAATAGGCCTCAAAGTGCTCCTATTAACCATTTGCAGATAATACAAAAGACTGTTTCCAAACTGCACAATCAAAAGAAAGGTTCAACTTTGTGAGGTGAATGCACACATCACAAAGAAGTTTCACAGACTTCTTCTCTGTAATTTTTATGTGAAGATATTTCCTTTTCTACCATGGGCATCAAAGTGCTCCAAATATCCATTTGCAGATTCTACAAAAAGAGTGTTTCAAAACTGATCAATCAAAAAAAGTTTCAACTCTGGGAAGAATGCACACATCATGAAGGAGTGTCTGACGATGCTTCTGTCCAGTTTTTCTGTGAAGATATTTTGCTTTCCATTGTAGGACCCGAAGCACACCAAATATCTACTTGCAGATTCTACAAAAAGAGTGTTTCAAAACTGCTCATTTAAAAGAAACCTTCAACTCTGGGAAGTGAATGCACACATCACAAATAAGTTTCTCAGAATGCTTCTGTCTAGTTTTTATGTGAAGATATTTCCTTTTCCACTATAGGTCTCAAAGTGCTCCAAATATCCATTTGCAGATACTACAAAAAGACTGTTTCCAAACTGCTCAATCAATAGAAAGGTTCAACTGTGTGAGTGGGATGCACACATCACAAATAATTTTCTCAGAATGCTTCTGTCTAGTTTTTCTGGGAAGATATTTCCTTTTCCACTATAGCCAGCAAAAAGCTCCAAATATCCACTTGCAGATTCTACAAAAAGAGTGTTTCAAAAGTGCTCAATCAGGAGAAAGGTTCAACTCTGTGAGATGAATACACACATCATAAAGAAGTTTATCAGAATGCTTCTGTCTAGTTTTTATGTGAGGATATTTTCTTTTCCACCGTAGGCCTCAAAGCGTTCCACATATCCACTTGCAGATTCTACAAAAAGAGTTCTTCAAAACTGCTCAACCAAAAGAAAGTTTAAACTCTGTGAGATAAATGCACACATCACAAAGAAGTCTCTCAGAATGCTTCTGTCTATATTTTATTTGAAGATATTTCCTTTTCCACTATAGGCCAGAAAGCGCCCCAAATATCCACTTGCAGATTCTACAGAAAGAGTGTTTCAAAACTGCCCAATCAAAGGAAAGGTTCAGCTCTGTGAGATGAATGCATGCATCTCAAAGTAGTTTGTCAAGATGCGTCTGTCTAGTTTTTATGTGAAGATATTTCCATTGTCATGATAGGCCTCAATGCACTCCAAATATCCACTTGCTGATTCTCCAAAAAGAGTGTTCCAAGACTACTCAATCAATAGAAAGGTTCAAATCTATGATATGAATGCACACATCACAGAGAAGTTTCTCAGAATGCTTCTGTCTAATTTTTATGTGTAGATATGTCCTTTTCCACCAAAGGACCCAAAGCGCTCCAAATATCCAATTGCAGATACTACAAAAAGACTATCTCCAAACTGCTGAATCAAAAGAAAGGTTCAACTCTGTGAGATGAATGCTCACATCACAAAGAACTTTCTCAGAATGCTTCCATCTAGTTTCTATGTGAAGATATTTCCTTTTCAACCATAGGCCTCAAAGCGCTCCAAATGTCGACTTGCAGATTCTACAAAAAGAGTGTTCCCAAACTGGTCAATCAAAAGAAAGTTTCAACTCTGTGAGATGAATGCACACATCAAAAAGTAGTTTCTCAGAATGCTTCTGTCTAGTTTTCATGTGAAGAAATTTCCTTTTCCACCATAGGCCTCAAAGCGCTCCAACTATCCATTTGCTGATACTACAAAAAGACTGTTTCAAACTGCTCAATGAAAAGAAATATTCTACTCTGTTAGTTCAATGTACACATCAAAATGAAGTTTCTCAGAATACTTCTGTCTAGTTTTTATGTGACGATATTTCCTTTTCCATGATAGGCCTCAAAGCGCTCCAAAATACCCAATGCAGATTATTCAAAAAGAAGGTTTCCAAACTGCTCAATCAAGAGAATGGTTCCGCTCTGTGAGATGAATGCATGCATTACAAACCAGTTTCTCAAAAGCCTTCTTTCTAGTTTTTAATGTCAAGATATTTTCTTTTTCCCCATAGGCCTCAAAGTGTTCCCAAATATCCCTTTGCAGATTCTACAAAAAGACTCTTTCCAAACTGCTCAATCAAAAGAATGGTTCAACTCTGTGAGATGAACACACACATCATAAAGTAGTTTTTCAGAAAGTTCTGTCTAGATTCATATGAAAACATTTCCTTTTTCACTATAGGCCTCAAACAGCTTCCAAATATCACTTTGCAGATTCTGCAAAAAGACTGTTTCCAAACTGCCTAAAAAAAGAAATGGTCAATTCTGTGGGAAGAATGCATACATCATATAGAAATTTCTCAGAATGGTTCTGTACACTTTTTATGTGATGCTATTTCCTTTTTCACAATAGGCCTCAATTCACTCATAAATATGTCTTTGCAGATTCTAGAAGATCGGAGTTTCCAAACTGCTCAATGAAAAGAAACTTTTATCTCTGTGAGATAAATGCACACATCACAAAGCAGTTTCTCATAAAGCATCTTTCCAGTTTTTATATGAAGGTATTTCCTTTTTCACCAGAGGCCTCAAAGCGCTCCCAAATATCCCTTTGCAGATTCTAGAGACAGACTGTTTCCACGCTGCTCAATCAAAAGAATGGTTCAAGTCTGTGAGATGAATGCACACATCACAAAGAAGTTTCTCAGAAAGCTTCTTTGTAGTTTTTATGAGAAGATATTTCCTTTTTCACCTTAGGCCTCAAAGCGCTCACCAATATCCCTTTGCAGATTCTAGAAAAACAGAGTTTCCAAATTGCATAGTGAAAAGAATCATTTACTTCTGCGAGATGAATGCAGACATCACAAAGCAGTTTCTCCTAAAACTTCTTTCTAGTTTTTATGTGATGATATTTTCTTTTTCACTATGGACCTCAAAGTGCTCCAAATATCCCTTTGCAGATTCTACAAAAAGACATTTTCCAAACTTCTCAATCAAAAGAATGGTTCACCATTGAGAAATGAATGCACATATCATAAAGAAATTTTGGAGAAAGCTTCTGCCTAGTTTTGCTGTGAAGACAATTCCTTTTCCACCATAGAAATCAAAGGGCTCACAAATATCCCTTTGCAGATTCTAGAAGAACAAAGTTTTCAAACCGTCAATGAAAAGAAACATTTACCTCTGTGAGATGAATGCACACATCACAAACCAGACACTCTGAAAGCTTCTCTCTAGTTTTTATGTGAAGATATTTCCTTTTTCACCATATGCCTAAAAGCACTCAGAAATATCCATTTGGAAATTCTAGAAGAACAGAGTTTCCAAACAACTCAATGAGAAGAATCATTTACCTCTCTAAGAAGAATGCACACATCAAAAAGCAGTTTCTCAGAAAGCTTTTTTCTAGTTTTATGTGAAGATATATCCTTTTTCACCATAGTCCTCAAATCGCTTCCAAATATCCCTTTGCAGATTCACCAAAAAGACTGTTTACAAACTGCTGAATCAAAAGACTAGTTCAACTATGTGAAACGAATGTACACATCACAAAGCAGTTTCTCAGAAAGGGTCTGTCTAATTTTTATGTGAAGATAGTTCCTTTTTCACCAAAGGCCTCAAAGCACTCACAAATATCGCATTGCAGATTCTAGAAGCACAGAGTTTCCAATCTGCTCAGTGAAAAGAAACTTTTACCTCTGTGAGTTGAATGCACACATCACAAGGCAGTTTCTGAGAAAGCTCCTTTCTAGTTTTGATGTGAAGATGTTTTCTTTTTCACCATAGGCCCCAAAGTGCTCCCAAATATCCCTTTGTAGAATCTCCAAAAAGACTGTTTCCAAACTGCAAAATCAAAAATATGTTTCAACTCTGTGTGGTGAATGCACACATCACAGAAACGTTTCTCAGAAAGCTTCTGTCTAGTTTTTATGGGAAGATACTTCCTTTCTCACCATAGGCCTCAAAGTGCTCACAAATTTCCCTTTGCAGGTTCTATAAGAACAGAGTTTGCAAACTGCTAAATGAAAAGAAACGTTTACTTCTGTGAGATGAATGCACACATCACAAAGCAGTTTCTCAGAAACCTTCTTTATAGTTTTTCTGTGAAGCTATTTCTTTTTTCACTCTAGGGCTGAAAGAGCCCCCTTCTATCCCTTAGCACATTCTACAAAAAGAGTAGTTCCAAATTGCTCAATGTAAATAATGGTTCAACTCTGTCAGATGAATGCTCACATCACAAAGCAGTTTATCAGAAAGCTTTTGTCAAGTTTCCATAAGAAGATATACTTTTCCACCTCAGGCATCTATGTGAATGAACATATTCCTTGGCAGATTCTACAAACACTGTGTTTCCAAAATTTTCTGTCAAAAGGATTGTTCAACCCTGTGGGATGAGTGCACGCATCACAAGGAAGTTTTCCCAAAAGATTCTGTTTAGTTTTAATATGAAGTTATTTCCTTTTTCACCATAGGCCTCAAACTGCTCACAAATATCTCTTTGCAGATTCTACAAGTAGACTGTTTCTAAACTGCTCAATCAAAGGAAAGTTTCAACTCTGTGAGATGAATGCACACATCACAAATAAGTTTCTCAGAAAGATTCTTTCTAGTTTTTATGTGAAGATATTTCCTTTTTCACCATTGGCCTTAAAGTGATCCCAAATATCCCTTTTCAGATTCTACAAAAAGACTGTTTCCAAACTACGCAGTCAGAAGTATGGTTCAACTCAGTGAGATTAGTGTGGATATAACAAAGAAGTTTCTCAGGAAGCTTCTGTCTGGTTTTTATGTGAAGATATTTCCTTTTCACCATAGGCCTCAAAGCTTTCCCAAATATCCCTTTGAAGATTCTACAAAAAGACAGTTTCCAAACTGCTGAATCAAAAGAATGGTTCAACTCTGTGAGCTGAATGCACACATCACAAATAAGTTTTTCAGAAAGCTTCTGACTAATTTTTATGTGAAGATATTTCCTTTTTCATCATTGGCCTCAAAACACTCCCTAATATCACTTAGAAGATTCTACAAAAATGTGGTTCCAAACTGCTCAAAGAAAAGAATGGCTCAAATCTCTGATATTAATTCACACATCATTAAGCAGTTTCTCAGTAAGCTTCTGTCTTGTTTCTGTCAGAACATATTACTTTTCCACCTCAGGCATCTCTGCTAATACAAATATCCCTTCACAGATTCTACAAACACTGTGTTTCCAAAATTTTCAATCAAAAGGTTGTTCAACTCTGTCAGATGAATCCACACATCACAAAGTGCTTTCTCAGAAGGCTTCTATTTAGTTTTCATGTGAAGATATTTACTTTCTCACCATAAGCCTCAAAGCGCTCACAAATACACCCTTTGCAGATTCTAGAAAAGCAGAGTTTCCAAACTGGTCAATGAAAACATACTTTGACCCCTTTAAATGAATGCACAGATCACAAAGGCATTTCTCAGAAAGATTCTTTCTAGTTTTTATGTGAAGATATTTCCTTTTTCATCATATGCCTCAAACCGCTCCCAAATATCCCTTTGTAGATTCTAGAAAAAGACTGTTTCCAAACTGCATAATCAAAAGAAAGGTATAACTCTATGAGATAAATGCACACATCACCAAGAAGTTTCTCAGAAAGCTTCTGTCTGGTTTTCATGTGAGGATATTTCCTTTTTCACCATAGGCCTCAAAATGCTGACAAACATTCCTTTTGCAGATTCTAGAAGAATAGATTTTCCAAACTGTTCTATGAAAAGAAACCTTTACCTCTGTGAGATGAGTGCACACATCATGAAGCAGTTTCCTAGAAAGCTTCTTTCTAGTTTTTATGTGAAGATATTTCCTTCTTCACAATTGGTCTCAAAGTGCTCCCAAATATCCCTTTGAACATCCTATAAAAACAAAGTTCCCAAACTGCTCAATCAAAAGAATGGTTCAATCATATGAGATGAATGCACACATCACAAAGAATTTTCACAGAAAGCTTCTGTCCATTTTTTATGTGAAGATATTTCCTTTTTGACTGTAGGCCTCAAAATTCTCCCAAATATACCTTTGCAGATTTTACAAAAAGACCCTTTCCAAACTGCTCAATCAAAAGAGAGGTTCAACTCTGTGAGATGAATGCACACATCACAAAGAAGTTTTTCAGAACTCTTCTGACTAGTTTTTATGTGACGATATTTCCTTTTTCACCATAGGCCTGAAAGTGCTCCCTTCTGTCCCTTAGCACTTTCCACAAAAAGAGTAGTTCCAAACTGCTCAATGAAAAGAATGGTTCAACTCTGTGAGATGAATGCACACATCACAAAGTAGTTTCTCAGAAAGCTTCTGTCTAGTTTCTGTCAGAAGTTATTTCTTTTCCACCTCGGGCAACTATGCAAATGAAAATATCCCTTCACAGATTCTACAAACACTGTGTTTTCAAAATTTTCTGTAAAAAGGATTGTTCAACTCTAAGAGATGAATACACACATCACAAAGAACTTTCTCAGAAATCTTCTGTCTAGTTTTTATGGGAAGATATTTCCTTTTTCACCCTAGGCCTCAAAGCGCTCATAAATATCCATTTGCAGATTCTACAAGAGCAGAGTTTCCAAACTCATCAATGAAAAGGAACGTTTACCTCTGAGAGATGAATGCACAGATCACAAAGCAGTTTCTCAGAAAGCTTCTTTCTAGTTTTACATGAAGATGTTTCATTTTTCACAATAGGCCTCAAAACACTCCCAAATAACCCTTTGGAGATTCTACAAACAGATGGTGTTGAAACTGCTCAATCAAAAGAATGGTTCAACGCTGTCAGATGAATGCACACATCACAAAGAAGTTTCTCAGAAAGCTTCTGTCTAGTTTCTGTTGGAAGTTATTTCTTTTCCACCTCAGGCATCTATGTGAATGAAAATACCCCTTCACAGATTCTACAAACACTGTGTTTTCAAAATTTTCCATAAAAAGGATTGTTCAACTCTAAGAGATGAATACACACCTCCCAAAGAACTTTCTCAGAAAGCTTCTGTCTAGTTTTTACCTGAAGATATTTCCTTTATCACCATAGGCCTCAAAGAGCATGGAAATATAACTTTCTAGATTCTAGAAGAATAGAATTTCCAAAGTGTTCAATGAAAAGAAATGTTGACCCGTGTGAGATGAATGCACACATCACAAAGCAGTTTCTCAGAAAGTTTCTTTCTAGTTTTTATGTGAAGATGTTTCTTTTTTCACCATGAGCCTCAAAGCACTCCCACATATCCCTTGGCAGATTCTACAAAAAGACTTTTTCCAAACTGCTCAATCAAAACAATGGTTCAACACTGTGAGCTGAATGCACACATCACAAAGCAGTTTTGTAGAAAGCTTCTGTATAGTTTTTATGTGAAGATATTTCCTTTTTCACCAGAGGCCTCAAAGCACTCCCAAATAACCCTTTGCAGATTCTAGAAAAATACTGTTCCAATCAGTGCCATCAAAAGAATGGTTCTATTCTGTGAGATGAATGCACACATCACAAAGCAGTTTCTAAGAAAGCTTGTTTCTAGTTTTTATGTGAAGATATTTCCTTTTTCACTATAGGCGTAAAGCACTCCCAAATATCTCTTTGCAGATTCTACAAAAAGACTGTTTCCAAACTGCTCAATCAAAAGAATGGTTCAACACTGTGAGATGAAGGCACACATCACAAAGAAGTTTCTCAGAAAGCTTCTGTCTAGTTTTTCTCTGAACATATTTCCTTTTTCACCATAGTCCTCAAAGCCTTGCCAAATATCCCTGAGGAGATTCCACAAAAAGAGTGGTTCCAATCTGGTCAATGAAAAGAATGGTTCCACTCTTTGAGATGAATGCACACATCACAAAGCACTTTATCAGAAAGCTTCTTTCCAGTTTGTGTCAGGAGATATTATCTGTTCCACCTCAGGTCTCCATGCAAGTGCAAATATCCCTCCGCAGATTCTATGAACATTGTGCTTCCAAATTTCCCAATCAAAGAAAGGTTCAACTCTGTGCATTGAATGCACACATCACAAAGTAGTTTCTCAGAAAGCTTCTGCAAAATTTTTATGTGAAGATATTTCCTTTTTCACCATAGGCCTCAAAGCGCTCAGAAATATCGCTTTGCAGATTCTAGAACAACAGAGTTTCCAAACTGCTCAATGACAAGAATCATTTATCTCTGTGAGATGAATGCATACATCATGAAGCAGTTTCTCAGAAAGCCTCTTTCTAGTTTTTATGTGAAGATATTTCCTTTTCCACCATAGGCCTCAAATCACTTCCAAATATCCCTTTGCAGATGCTAAAAAAGGTCTGTTTCCAAACTGCTCAATGAAAATAATGGTTCAACTCTGTCAGATGAATGCATGCATCACAAAGAAATTTATCAGAATGCTTCTTTCTAGTTTTTATGTGAAGATATTTCCTTTTTCACCATAGGCCTCAAAGTGCTCCCAAATATCCCTTTGCAGATTCTACAAAAAGACTGTTTCCAAACTGCTCAATCAAAAGAATGGTTCAACTCTGTGAGATGAATGCACACATCACAAATCACTTTCTCAGAAAGCTTCTTTCTAGTTTTAATGTGAAGATATATCTTTTCCATGATAGGCCTCAAAACACTCCCAAATATGCCTATACAGGTTTTACAAAATATTGTTTGCACACTGCTCAATCAAAAGTGTGGTTCAACTCTGTGAGATGAATGCACAGATCACAGAGAAGTTTCTCAGAAAGCTTCTGTCTAGCTCTCATGTGAAGATATTTCCTTTTTCACCATAGGCCTCAAGGTGATCCCAAATATCTTTTTGCATGTTCTACAAAAAGAGTGGTTCCAAACTGGTTAATGAAAGGCATGGGTTCACTCTGTGAGATGAATGCATACATCACAATGCAGTTTCTCAGAAAGCTTCTGTCTAGTTTGTGTTGGAAGATATTTCCTTTTCCACCTCAGGCCACCATGTGAATGCAAATATCCCTTTGTAGATTCTACAAACTCTGTGCCCCCAAATTTCTCAATCAAAAGAATGCTCAACTCTGTGAGATGAATGCACACATCACAAAAACGTTTCTCAGAAAGCTTCTGCATAGTTTTTATGTGAAGACATTTCCTTTTTCACCACAGGCCTCAAAGCACTCAGAAATATCCCTTTGCAGATTCCAGAAGAACAGAGTTTCCAAACTGCTCAATGACAAGAAACATTTACCTCTGTGAGATGAATGCACACATCACAAAGCAGTTTCTCAGAAAGCTTCTGTCTAGTTTTTATATGAAGATATTCCCTGTTTCATTATAGGCTTCAAAGCGTACACAAATATCCCTTTGTGGATTCTAGAAGAACAGAGTTTCCAAACTGCTCAATGAAAAGCAACGTTTACCTATCTGAGATGAATGCACACACCACAAATCAGTTTCTCAGAAAGCTTCTTTCTAGTTTTTATTTGAAGATATTTCCTTTTTCTCCATAAGCCTCAAAGCACTCCCAAATATCCCTTTGCAGATTCTTCAAAAAGACTTTTTCCAAACTGCTCATTCAGAAGAATGGTTCAACTCTATGAGATGAATGTACGCATCACAAAGAAGTTTCTCAGAAAGTTTCTGTCTGGTTTTTATGTGAAGATATTTCCTTTTTCACTGTAGGCCTCAAAGCGCTCACAAATATCTCTTTGAAGATTCTGCAAAAAGAGTTTCCAAACTGCTCAATGAAAAGAAACGTTTACCTCTGTTATATGAATGCACTCATCACAAAGTAGTTTCTCAGAAAGCTTCTTTCTAGTTTTTATGTGAAGATATTTCCTTTTTCACCATAGGCCTCAAATTGCTCCCAAATATTCCTTTCCAGATTCTACAAAAGACTGCTTCCAAACTGCTCAGTCAAAAGAATTGTTCAACTCTATGAGATGAATGCCCAGTACTGCATTGTGTCCAATGGTGGAAAAGGAAACGTCTTCAGATATAGGTAGCAGGAAGCTTCTTGAGAAACTGCCAGGTGATGTGTTCATTCATCCAACAGAGTTAAGCCTTTCTTTGTATTCAGCAGTTTGGTGACACTGCTTTTGTCCATTCTGCGAATGGACGTTTGGGAGCTCTTTGAAGACAGTTGTGAAAAAGAGGATATCCCAGGATTAAAACTAGAAGGAAGCTATCTGAAAAACTGCTTAGTGATGTGTGCATTCATGTAGCCGAGTTAAACATTTGTTTTCATTAAGCAGCTTGGAAACACTGTGTTTGTGAAAACTGCGAAAGCATATTTGCAGCTCATTGAAGACTAACGTGAAAAAGGAAATATCTTCATATAAAAACTAGAAAGAAACATTCTGAGAAACTGCTTTGTGAGGTGTTCATTCATCTCAGAGATTTAAAGCCTTCTTTGGTTTCAGCCGTTTGGAAATGCTGTTTATGTCCATTTTGCCAATGGACATTTTGGAGCACATTGAGACCAATGTTGAAAAAGTGAATATCCCAAGATAAAAACTTGAGGCAATTTATCTGATGAAGCTACTCATGATGTGTACATTGAGTTCACAGAGTTAAACATTTCTTTTCATTCAGCTGTTTAGAATCACTGTTTTCTTAGAATCTGCCAAGAGATATGTGGAAGACTATGGACGTCACTGGTGAAAAAGGAAATATTTCTGATAAAATCTAGAAAGCAGCCCAATGAGAAACCCATTTGGCATGTGTGCATTCATCTCAGGGAGTTAAACCTGTTTTTGGTATCAGGAGTTTGGAAACACAGTTTTTGTACATTCTTGGAATGGACGTTTGGTAACTCATTGAGGCCAATGGCAAAAAGGCAAATATCGCAGGATAAAAACTTGAAGGAATTTGTCTGAGAAACCAATTCATTATGTGTACATTCATCTCTCAGAGTTAAACCTTTCTTCTAATTCAGCAGTTTCAAAACACTGTTTCTCTCAATCCTGCAAATAGACATTTGGGAGTTCATTGAAGCCAATTGAAAGAAAGCGCTTATCTCAGGATAAAAACTAGAAGCAAGTTATCTGAGAAACTTCTTGGTGACATGTGCATTCATCTAGCAGAGTTAAACCTTTCTTTTCATTCAGTAGTTTCGAAAGAGTGTTTTCTTAGAATCTGCAAAGAGGTATTTGGTAGAGGACTGTGGCCCATGGTGGAAAAGGAAATATCTTCAGTTAAAAAGTAGCAGGAAGTTTTCTGGAAACTGCTTGGTGATGTGTTCATTCATCCAACAGAGTTAAGCCTTTCTTTGGATTCAGAAGCTTGGTCACACTGTTTTTGTCCTTTCTGCCAATGGAGGTTTGGGAGCTCATTGAAGCCAATGGCGAAAAAGAGAATATCCCAGGATTAAAACTAGAAGGAAGGTATCTGAGAAACCGCTTAGTCATGTGTGCATTCATCCAGCAGAGTTAAACCTTTCTTTTAATTCAGCAGTTTGGAAACACTGTGTTTGTAGAAACTGTGAAAGGATATTTGGCAGCTCTTTGAGGCCTAAGGTGAAAAAGGAAATATCTTTTGATAAATACCAGAAAGAAACATTCTGAGAAACTGCTTTGTGATGTGTTCATTCATCTCACAGAGTTAAACAGTTCTTTGGATTCAGCAATTTGGAAATGCTGTTTGTGTCCATTTTGCCAATGGACATTTTGGAGCACATTGAGACCAAGGGTGAAAAAGCAAATATCCCAGGATAAAAACTTGAAGCAATTTATCTGAGAAAACTGCTCATGATGTGTGCATTCAGCACACAGAGTTAAACCTTTCTTTTCATTCAGCTGTTTAGAATCACTGGTTTCTTAGGATCTTCCAAGAGATATTTGGAAGACTATGGAGGTCAATGGTGAAAAAGGAAGTACCTTCTGATAAAAACTAGAAAGAAGCCTAATGAGAAACCCGTTTGACATATGTGCATTCATCCCAGAGAGTTAAACCTGTCTTTGCTTTCAGCAGTTTGGAAACACAGTTTTTGTACATTCTTGGAATGGACGTTTGGGAACTCATTGAGGCTAATATAAAAAAAAGCGAATATCACATGACAAAAACTAGAAGGAAGCTATCTGAGAAACCAATTCTTGATGTGTGCATTCATCTCACAGAGATAAACCTTTCTTTTCATTCAGCAGTATGGAAACACTGATTTTTTAGAATCTGCAAAGAGACATTTGACAGCACATTGAGGCCTATGGTGAAAAAGGATATATCTTCAGATAAAATTCGAAAGAAGCTTTGTGAGAAACTGCTTTGTGATGTATTCATTCATCCCACTAAGTTAAAATTTTCTTTGGATTCAGCAGTTTGGAAACCGTGTTTCTGTCGATTCTGCGAATGGACATTTTTCAGCTCATTGAGGCTGACGGGGAAACAGCAAATATCCCAAGATAAAAACTAAAAGGGAGTTACATGAGAAACCAATTCTCGATGTGTGCATTCATCTCAGAGAGGTAAACTTTTCTTTCACTTCAGCAGTTTGGAAACACTGTTTGTGTCCTTTCTGTGAATGGACTTTGGGAGCTCATTGAGGCCAAAGACAAAAAATCGAATATGCCAGTGTTAAAACTAGAAGGAAGCTATCTGAGAAACACATTTGTGATGTGTGCATTCATCTCACAGAGTTAAACATTTCTCTTCATTCAGCTATTTGGAAACACTGATTTCTTAGAATCTGCGAAGAGATATTTTGTAATGCATTGAGGCCCATTGTGAAAAAGGAAATATCTTCAGACAAAAACTAGCAAGAAACTTTCTGAGAAACTACATTGTGATGTGTTCATTCTTCTCACAGAGTTAATCTTTTCCTCGGATGCAGCAGTTTGGAAATACTGTTTTTGTCCTTTCTGTGAATGGATAGTTAGGAGCTCACTGAGGCCAATGGTGAAATAGCAAAACTCCCAGCAGAAAAACTTGAAGGAAGTGATTTCAGAAACAGAGTAGTGATGTTTGCATTCATCTCACAGAGTTAAATCTTTCTTTTCATTCAGCTGTTTAGAAACACTGGTGTATACAATCTGACAAGAGATATTTTGTAGCACATGGAGGCCCATTGTGAGAAAGGAAATATCTTCAGATAAAAACTGTAAACAACCTTAAGGATAAACTGGTTCAGGGCATGTGCATTCATCTCAGAGTTAAATATGTCTTTGTATTCACCAGTTTGGAAACACAACTTTGGTCCCTTCTTGGAATATAAATTGGGGAACTCATTGGGGCCAATGATAAAAAAGTGAATATCCCAGGATAAAACTAGAAGGAAGTTATCTGAGAAACTTCTTGCTGATGTGTGCATTCATCTCACAGAGTTGAACCTTTCTCTTCATTCAGCAATTTGGAAACAGTGTTTGCTTAGAATCTTCAAAGAGATATTTTGTAGCGCATTGTGGCCCATGGTGAAAAAGGAAATATTTTCATATAGAAAGTAGCAAGAAGCTTTCTGAGAAACCGTTTCATGATGTGTTCACTCATCCAACAGAGTTAAGCCTTTCTTTGGATTCAGCAGTTTGGTCACACAGTTTTTGCCCATTTTGCGAGTGGACATTTGGGAGCTCATTGAAGCCAATGGCAAAACAGAGAATATCCCAGGATTAAAACTAGAAGGAAGCTATCTGAGAAACTGTTTAGTGATGTGTGCATTCATCTAGCAGTTTGAAAACACTGTTTTTGTAGAAACAGTGAAAGGATATTTGGCAGCACCTTGGGGCCTAAGGCGAAAAAGAAAATATCTGCAGATGAAAACTAGAAAGAAACTTTCTGAGAAACTGCTTTGTGTTGTGTTCATTCATCTCACAGAGTTAAACATTTCTTTAGATTCCGCAGTTTGGAAATGCTGTTTGTGTCTATTTTGCCAATGGACATTTTGGAGCACATTGAGGCCAATGGCAAAAAAGAAAATATCCCAAGATAAAAACTAGAAGGAACTTACGTGAGAAACAAATTCGTGGTATGTGCTTTCATCTCAGAGAGTTAAAACTTTCTTTGGATTTAGCAGTTTGGAAACACTGTTTGTGTCCATTCTGTGAATGGACGTTTGGGAGCTCATTGAGGCCAATGGTGAAAAAGTGAATATCCAGTATTAAAACTAGAAGGAAGCTATCTGAGAAACGGCATTGTGATGTGTGCATTCATCTCACAGAGTTAAACATTTCTCTTTATTCAGAGGTTTGGAAACACTGATTTCTTAGAACCTGTGAAGAGATATTTTGTAGCGCATTGAGGCCCATGGTGAAAAAGGAAATATCTTCAGATAAAAGCTAGCAAGAAACTTTCTGAGAAACTACTGTGTGATGTGTTCATTCATCTCACAGAATTAAACCTTTCCTTGGATTCAGCAGTTTGGAAATACTGTTTTTGTCCATTCTGCGAATGGATATTTGGGAGCTCACTGAGGCCAATGGTGAAATAGCTAATCTCCCAGTATAAAAACTTGAAGGAAGTGATCCCAGAAACTGATTAGTAATGTTTGCATTCATGTCACAGAGTTAAGTCTCTCTTTTCATTCAGCTGTTTAGAAACACTGTTGTCTTACAATCTGCCAAGGTGTATTCAGTAGCACATGGAGGCCCATTGTGAGAAAGGAAATATCTTCAACTAAACTAGAAACAAGCATAATGAGAAACTGGTTCACGAGGTGTGCCTTCATGTTAGAGAATTAAATCTGTCTTTTTATTCAGCAGTTTGGAAACACAGTTTTGGTCCTTCCTTGGAATATACATTGGGGAGCTCATTGAGGTGAAAAGCAAAAGCGAATATCACAGGATAAAAACTAGAAGGAAGTTATCTGAAAAACTTCTTTGGGATGTGTGCATTCATCTAGAAGGGTTAAACCTTTCTTTTCATTCAGCAGTTTGGAAGAGTGTTTTATTAGAATCTGCAAAGATATATTTGGTGGCCCATGGTAAAAAAAAAAGGAAATATCTTCAGATAAAAAGTAGCAAGAAGTTTTCTGAGAAACTGCTTTGTGATGGGTTGATTCATCCAACAGAGTTAAACCTTTCTTTTCATTCAGCAGTTTGGAAACACTGTTTTGGTAGAATCTGTGAAGGTGTATGTGGGAGCACATTGAGGCCTATGGTGAAAAAGGAAATGTCTTCTAGTGAAAACTATAAAGAAACTTTCTTAGAAACTGCTTTGTGATGTGTGCATTCATCTCACAGGGTTAAACCTTGCTTTGGATTCAGCAGTTTGGAAACACTACTTTTGTAGAAACTGCAAAGGTATGTTTGGGAGTTCATTGAGGCCAAAGGCAAAAAAATGAATATCCCTGAATAAAAACTCAAAGGAAGCTATCTGAGAAACTGCTTTGTCATATGTGCCTTAATGTGGCGAATATAAACGTTTCTTCTCATTCAGCAGTTTGGAAACACTGTTTTTCTGGAAACTGTGAAGTCATATTAGATAGCTAAAGGAAGCTATAGGTAAAAAGACAAATATCCCAGGATAAAAATTAGAAGGAAGAAATTTGAGAAATCACTTTGTGATGCTTGCATTCATCTCACAGAGATAAAACTTTCTCTGTTTCTATTTGGAAACACTCTTTTAGTAGAATCTACGAATTGATATTAGATAGCTCATTCAGGCCGTTGGTGAAAAAGTGAATATCACTGGATAAAAACTAGAAGGAAGCTATCTGAGAAACCGTTTTGTGATATGTCCATTCATCTCACAGAACTAAAGCTTTCTTTTCATTCAGCAGATTCAAAATATGGTTTTGGCAGACTTTTTGAACGGATATTTTGGAGCCCATAGAGGCCTATGTTGAAAAAGGAAATATCTTCAGACAAACACTTGAAAAATTTTCTGAGAAACTGCTTTGCGATGTGTGCATTTATCTCACAGTGTTAAACTTTCTTTGGATTCAGCAGTTTGGGAACACTGTTTTTGTAGAATGTGAGAATTGATATTAGATAGCTCATTGAGGGCATAGGTGAAAAAGCAAATATCCCAGAATAAAAACAAAGGAAGTGGTCTGAAAAATCGCTTTGTGATGTGTATATTCATCTTGCAGAGTTAAACTGGTCTTTTCATTCAGCAGTTTGGAAACACTGTTTTGGTAGAATCTGCGAAGGGACATTCGGCAAGTCATTGAGGCCAAATGTGAAAAAGTGAACATTCCAGGAGAAAAAATAGAAGAAAGCTTTCTGAGAAACAGCTTTGTAATCTGTGCATTCATCGCACAGAGATAAACCTTTCTTTTCATTCAGCAGTTAGGAAACACTGTTTTTGTAGAATCTGTGAAGGGATATTTAATTGCTCATACAGGCCATAGGCAAAAAATCCAATATCCCAGGATAAAAACTAGAAGGAAGCTAGATGAGAAACAATTTTGTGATGTTTGCATTCATCTCACAGGGGAAAACATTTCTTTTCATTCAGCCTTTTGGAAACACTGTTTTGGTAGAATCTGCAAAGGGATATATGGGAGCACATTAATGCCTATGGTGAAAAAGGAAATGTCTTCAGATAAAAACTAGAAAGAATCTTTCTGAGAACCTGCTTTGTGATGTGTGCATTCATCTCACAGATTTAAATGTTTATTTGGATTCAGTAGTTTGGAAAAGCTGTTTTTGTTCATTCAGCGAATGGACATTTGGGAGTTCATTGAGGCCAAACAGGAAAAAACGAATATCCCAGGACAAAAAATAGAAGGAAACAATCTGAGAAACTGCTCTGTTATATGTGCATTCATCTCGCAGAGTTAGACTTTTTTTTTTTTTTCATTCAGCAGTTTGGAAACAGTGTTTTGCTATAATCTGTGAAGGGATATTTAGGAATGCATTGAGGCCTATGGTGAAAAAGGAAATATCTTTAGACAAAAACAAGAAAGAAGCTTTCTTAGAAAGTGCTTTGTGATGTGTGCATTCACCTCAAAGAGTTAAACTCTTCTACAGATTCAGCAGTTGGAAATACTGTTTTTGTACAATCTGTGAAAGGATATTTGATAGATCATTGAGGCTATATGTGATAAAGCCAATATCCCAGGATAAAAACTAAAAGGAAGCTATCTGAGAAATGGCTCTGTGATGTGTGCTCTCATATCCAAGGGTTTTACCTTTGTTTTCATTCAGCTGGTTGGAAACACTGTTTTGGTAGAATCCTCGAAGGGATATTTGGGAGTGCATTGAGGCCTACGGTGGAAAAGGAAATATATTCAGATAAAACCTAGATAGAAGCTTTCTGAGAAACCACATTGTGATGTGTGCATTCATCTCAGAGAGTTAAAACTTTCTGTAGATTCAATACTTTGGAAATACTGTTTTTGTGCATTCTGTGAATGGACATTTGAGTGGTCATTGAAGACAAAGGTGAAAAAGTGAACATCTCAGGATGAAAACTAGAAGAAAGCTATCTGAGAAACCACTTTGTGATGTGTGCATTCACCTCACAAACGTAAACCTTTCTTTGGATTCAGCAGTTTGGAAACACTGTTTTGGCAGAATCTGCAAAGGGATATTTGGGAGTGTATTGATGACTATGGTGAAACAGGAAATATCTTCACATAAAAAATAGAAAGAAAGAAATTTTCTGACAAACTGCTTTGTGATGTGTGCATTTATCTCACAGAGTTAAAACTTTCTTTGGATTCAGCAATTTGAAAAACTCTTTTTGTCCATTGTGTAAATGGACATTTAAGAGCTCATTGAGGCCGATGGTGAAAAAGTAAATATGCCAAGATATAAACTATAAGGAAGCTATCTG